>NC_000013.11:70832348-70983863 GCF_000001405.40 Homo sapiens
TAAAACAATTTCCATAATATTCCAGATAATCAAACTCCACTTAAAAAAACCCAAAACTATGTAACAATTATTGTGCTGTTGTGAGTTCCAGGTGGCTACAAGTAATAATAAGTATATATACAGTTCTGTAATTAAAGCAACATTATCAGTTCAGCATTTATGATACCATCATTCATTTATTTTTTATTTGGAAAAATGAATTTAAGGTATTGAAGTATGTCATATAAGGTAAAAATAAATTGTAGTTGAGAATAATTATTTGAGAAACTCAGAGCAAAGCAACAATAAAATAGGAAGCCATGATTACTATGTAGCCTTATACATGTTCTAATATTTGACTATAACTTAGGTCGAATATTTGACTATAATTAAGTCAAATATTAGAACATGTATAAGGCTATGTAGTAATTAATCAGGCAGCAGTTAGGTTAAAAAATATTTTAACCTTTCTAGTGGTTACGTTAAAGAAAAATATGGTCAATAAAGTCAGTTTCAAAAATATTCGCTGAAACTCTAAGAAGAAAAGTACTTTGGACAGGCCAACTTTTATTTTCAACACACATACTCTAGGAGATTCAAGTTTATATATAACAAAGGCTTGACAAATCTGGAGAAGAAATAACCGATATTAACTTGGTTTCTTTGTTAAACCAACACATTTATTAGCAAGAAGGATAACTTGTTTTGTTTTAATCCCCAAGCACCTATTAACAATATCTAGAACAGATTTTCCTTAAAAGGTGTTTGGAAAGCCTTAATTGCATTATTCACAATTAGCAGAAGGAGAAATAAACTAGTTACTCAAAAAAGGGCAAACTATCTATGATGGGAAGCAGAAATTTCTCTCATACGCTCATGAAAAGATGATAAAACAACATATAAGCAATAGTCTTAACAGCACTCATAATTATAGCAAAGAGTTTCACAGAGTTCTTTAATAAGAGATTTCAAAAAAGGTCAATAATATAAAGGCCAAGTGCAATTCATAAAAAGCAATACTAAGAAAAGAAAAAATAATGCAGTTTAAGTTGTAAGGTTTCTGCTGGTCTTGAGCGAGATGTGAAAAAATAACTATAGTGTGCACATGGATTTAAAGAATTGAAAGAATGGTCTGCCCATCAGACAGGCCTCTAAGTAACATGCTTTTCTACACCACGAAGATAAAATAAAAGTTTTCTCCTCCCTCATTAGCTAGTTGGTGTGGCTAGTTAATTACAGGGCCATATGCTTTTAAGGCAGTTAATCCAGAGGTAGAACTAATGCCTCATCAAAGTTGAGGAATCTCAAAAGAATATTTTTTTCTGAAAAGAAAGACTGCATATTGGCATTCATACATCATGACTTAATGTCTTTTATGTATCATTTTTCTCACCTATAGTTTGAGAATTTTAAAAATACCAACCACATAGGTCTGTTGTAATAATGAAATGGTGTTGATAATTGTATCTGGAAGGTAGTGAATGATATAAACATTTATGTGTTGATGGTGGTGGTGGTGGTGGTGGTGGTGGTGGTGATGTATTTGGTAGTGGTAGTGGCAGTGGCAGCAGAGAAAAAATAACCTAAAACACAGATAAGATTTCAACCAAAAATAATCTTCTAAAGATATTGTTAATTTCATACAAAAAAAGGAAAAATTATTCATAGACATGTAAGTGAATGTCTGCCATGGCATGGTGGCAACCTATTTGCCTCCATATAAGCCACAGAAGGAAAGCTCTACTGCACCCTCACCTAATTCTTGGTAGATGCTTTTGATTCTCCCTGGAACATGTCAAGGTAGGCAGTCTTGTGAAGAACTATCATAGGAACATTTCTCATCTACCTCTCTATTTCGTGGGAGACTCTGTCTCTTACAGAAGACTCCGATGAGACAATTTCTCATCCAACTCTCTGGAGCTAGTGAGGCATGGAAATTTTAGTCTTGACTCACTAAGGTAGAATAGAAGGTATGAAACCACTTCACTGTAGTCTTGAATTGGCTCCTTAGTGATGAAACAACCCATTGCTCATGGTGTCAATTATCTGATCCCTCTAGGTTAGTGTCATCCTTTGTTGACACAACTGACTGACATCATGCTGATCAGGCTTATGCTGTTAACATAATAAACTAACTAAAGTTAGTTTATTATCATAAAGGTCATGTTATTTTTTGGTAGGCTGAATATATGCAATGTTGGCAAAGCCACTGTGAAGCTGCAGTAGTCACTGCTACTTAGGAACTGTTGATCTTTTGAAAAACTAAAGATTCACTCTAACCTAGGAAAAATGTCTAACAAGGTTTTGGTATAAATGACCACAAATATTTGACATAACTACTTGAAGAGAGTAGAATAGTGGTTACCATGGGCTAGATAGGGATGAGGGAGTTGGGGAGATGTTGGTCAAAGAATACTACATTTCAGTTAGACAAGAGGAATAAGTTTGGGAGAGTTATTGTACAACACAATAATTGTAGTTAATAACAATGTATTGTTTGCTTACAAATTGTTAATTAATAGAGTAAACTTTATGAGTTTTCCCCATAAAAAGTTGTGAAGCTATGCATATGCTAATTAGTTCCAGTTAATCATCCCACAATATATAGCTATTTCAAAATAACATGTTGTACATGATAAATATATACAATTTTTATCAATAAATAAAACCAAAAAAACTACTTGAATTACAACTGATGTCCTTTTGTGACAGAATATTAATAGTAACTATAATGATAATATAATAATAGTTAATTAATATTGGTAGTAATGTACTCTGTTAAATCCTTAACATGCATTATTTTATTTAATCACCAACATATTACCAAGAGTTATTGTGGTTTATTTTGGCTGATATTAACATAGGTACTCAAATTTTTTAAGTGGCATTTTAAAGAATAACATAGATACAATGAAGATTTGGTGGGTGGAGCATATGAACCCAAGCTTTCTGACTTTGCTGTCCTCAAGATGAAACACTCTGTTGTATTATCTACCAGAATGTGGAGAGCAGTTTTATTGAAAAAATAACTGAAGAAAACAGTTACTAAAATAACTTCATAATTATGAAACAACCAAAAAAATGAGGACTAGAATACCCTGCTAAGTTTAGGATTAATTGAAGCATTTACACACAATTATTAAACACTTGGATTTCATTAAAAGTGGACAGATGTATACCATATGTCCTTATTTATCATTCGCTTTATCACATATTCTGATCTTCCATCAGAAGAAGCATATGCCACAGAAAACAGAATAGGATCAAACTAGGATTTTCAAACAGTCTTTATTTAAATTATAACTTTGGTGTACTGCCAAAAGACCATCTGCCTTATATACTAATTAGACCCATACCACTTAAAACATACAACTTAAAAACATTATTTGAAACATGGATTTACAGTTTGAAATTTCAAGATCACATTATATTTCCTAATTTAAGAAAATAATTTATCATACTAGTAGTTATTTCAAATCTTCACTACAGAAAATATTAGAATGGAAAAGGAACAATGATATGCCAAAAGAATGATCGTATTAAAGGTAGTTTTATTTTTCAAGTGCAAATTGTAGTTCAAAATAAACTAAATAGACAGGTATATCTGTGGATAGGGGTTATGTGGGAATCTTTCCACTGCAAAGAGGATCGATTATTTCCAGTTTACTACGAGCGCACAGGGATCAATTATTAGAAGAGTATACTCTGGTGGAATTTGAAGAAGGAAGTATTATCATCTAAATATAGAGCTATTTAAATTATCTATTTCTTCATGAGTAAGCTTGGATAGTTTGTGTCTTTCAAGGCATTTAAATATTTAATTCAATATGTTCAAGGTATTGATATAAAATTATAATATCCCCTTACTATTTTTAAATATCAGTAAGATATTTATGGTAGCTTTCTTCCTTCTCTCTCTCTGTCTCTCGCCTCCTCTCTCCATCTCTTTTTTCTTCTCCTTCTCACTCTCTCTCACTTTTTAGTTCACATCCATCCATATGCCTATAGATTTATTGGTTGTATTGATTTTATTTGAAATACCAGTTTTAATATCATTGATTCTTCTCTGATGTGTTTCTATTTTCTATTTTATAAATTTTGGTCATACATTACATATTTCATTCTATTTGCCTTGGGGTGAACATCTTTTTTTGGGGGGGAGGGGGTTCTAGTTTTTAAGGTAGCTATTTATTCCACTGAGTTAAACAGCTATGTTATGATATAAAACTGAAATCTATAAATTTCACTCTGAAACACTACTTTAGAACTTTAATTGCATCCCACAAAATTTGCTATGTTGTGTTTTTATTTTTATTTGATAGTAAATATTTCCTAATTTTCTTTATAATTTCTTCTGTCATGTATGGGTTACTTAAAGGTGTCTTCTTTGATTTCTACATAATTTGGGATTTTTTTCAAATATATTTTTATTATGTATTCCAGTTATTTCACTTTTGTTAGAGAACATACATTAAATAATTTATTCATCTGTATTGAAATTTTTACATATCCCTGAATATGTAATCCATGTTTTATTATTCTTCGTGCACCTAAAAAAAAGCATCTTCTGCTTTTGGAGTGTGGAATATTCCATAAATATCTGATAGGTAAAGCTGATTGACAGTGCTCCTTGAATCTTATGTATCCTTGATGATTTTCTGTCTACTTGCCCTATCACTAAGAGTGTTTAAACTGAAACTATAATTGTAGATTTATCTCTTTTTATTTTAAGCTCTATCAACTTTTGCTTCATGTATTTTGAACTTCTCTTATTAGGTTAATATATATTTAGGATTATACTTTCTTGATGAATTGACTTCCTTATCATTATGAAACATTGTACTTTATTTCAGATATTTCTTAATTGTGGTTTATTTTGGCTGATATTAACATAGGTACTCAAAGTTTTTAAGTTGTTATTGCAGGGTAGTTAGTTTTCTATCCTTCTATTTATAATGTGACTTTATATTTTAAATGAGTTTCTTACAAATAGGATACAGTTAAATCTTATGCATCTACCTAATATGGTACCACCTTTGCCTCTTAATTGGAATATTTATGGCATTTGCATTTACTGGATTTGCTGATATTGTTGGGTTTCAATACATCTTGTTCCTTGTTTTCTATTTGTCCTAATTCTTTTATCACTTCTTTTTCTCTTTTTTTTTTTTGCCTTCTTGTTGATTATTTTTATTATTTGATGTTGTTTTCAAAACTGCCCTTTTAGCTGTATATGTTGTTTTATGTTGTTACTGGTTATTATATGATTTGTGAATACATCTTTAATTTATCACTGCCTATCTTCAAATAATGTGTCACATAATCTATTCGCTGAGAACCTTAAAACAATACTCTTGCATTTCTTCTTCTTGCCGCTTTTAATGTGCTTTGGTTGTCACATGTTTTCCTTCCACATATGTGATACACACCACAGTACATTATTATTGCTTTAAACAGCCAATTATCTTTAAAAGAGATTTAAAAATTAGGAAAATGCATTTTTCTGCTCTTCACATACTTACCATATCAGACACTCTTTAATGCTTTGCATACACTGTATTCAGATTTACATTTTCCATCATGAAGAACTTATTTTAAATTTCCCTGTAGTACAGTTCTGCTAGTGATTAATTCTCTCAGCCTTTGCTTGTTTGGAAAGGGCTTGTTTTATCATCATTTCTATAATATATTTTTAGTATTTAATTTTAAATTGTCAAGCTTTTGTTTTCTTTTGTTTTGTTTTTCACTACCGTGAAAAATATCCTTGGACATACATAATTTCTGATAAGATATCTGCTGTAATTCTTTTTCTTGTTTCTCCATGTATAATGATTTCTCTTACTCTAGCTTCTTTTAAGATTTGCCTCTTTATCAGCGGATTATCAGAAATTTGCTATGTGCTTGAAGTGTTTTTAATTAATTAATTAGTTAATCCTGCTTCAGGTTTGGTGAGCTTCTTGGATGTGTAAATTTGTCACTGAAAGCAAAATTGGCTATTGATATGGTTTGGCTCTGTGTCCCCATCCAAATCTCATTTTGAATTGTAATCTCATAATTCCCGTATCTTGTAGGAGAGACCTGGTGGGAGACAACTGAATCGTGGGGGCATTTTCCTCATACTGGTCTCCTGGTAGTGAATAACTCTCACAAGATCTGATAGTTTTATAAGGTGTTTCCACTTTTGCTTCTCTCTCTTTGCCTGCTGCCATTCATGTAAGATGTGACTTGCTCCTCCTTGCCTTCCGCCGTGATTGTGAGGCCTCCCCAGCCATGTGGAACTGCAAGTCCATTAAACCTCTTTATTTTGTAAATTGCCCATTCTGAGGTATGACTTTATCAGCAGCGTGAGAACAGACTAATACAGTTTTGTTTATCCATTATTATTTCAAATATTTCCTCTCCCCTTTCTTGAACTTTAATTACACTTCTATGATAACACTTACTATTGCCCCACTGGTTATTGAGGTTATTTTGGTTTTCTCTGTATTTACTATAGTTTGGATAGTTTGTAATGCAGTGTCTACAATTTCACCAGCCCTTCCTTTGATAATGACTAAGTTTCTGTTAACCATCCTCAAACCAAGTGGCATTAAACAGTGATAATCATTTATTATTTTTATGTTTCATGGTTCTGTGGGTTTGTGGGTTAAATAGACTCAAGTAGCCAGTTCTCGCTCAGATTTCCTCATGCAGTTGCAGTCAGACAGCAGCTGAAGCTTATGTCATCTCAAAAGTTTCCTGACTTATATATTTTTTCAATTTAATCTGGATGCCACCAGAGACCTCAGCAGATCCCTTAGTGGAACCTCAACTTATGAACTAGCTGTCTCACAGCACGGTGGCTAGGCTAAAGGGTAAATATCCCAAGATAGCCAGGACCAAGAGACATTGCTTTTTCTATGCTAGATTTAGAAGTCATGAATCATTACTTTTGCTACTCACCAGCTAGTAAGAGAAAAAGTTGTTACATAAACCTGGTTTTATCTTACATGTAAAGTTCATTAATACAAGACATCAAGATATAGTTAAAAGAAAATTTAAATATTAACATTATTTATTTAATAATGAGATATAGTCTCTTTTAAATGTATTGTATTTATCTTTGAAAATGTCTGCAATTTTGCTCCACAGGGATCAGGAAGAAATTATATTAAATGTTAAAACCATATACTGAGTTATTGTTTGCTTAATGTACATTTTCAATTCCTTCCCATTATCTCATCACATGATTGACAGTATTTCTGTAATATTTTAAATATGTTGTAAGTTACAAGTTGTAAATATAAAATTATTTAGTTTATGCTAGCCATAACAATTGTTTATTTAGGGTTCTTCTATTCAACAAATATCAAGAAGAGTCCCGATACAGATGTTGGACATAAAATGAAGAGCAAACCAATCATGTCTTCTTGTCTTAATCATGCTTAAAGTTGGAAGCATATATTAATCAAATAACTGTTTAAGTATTAACTAGCTATGAACTTTTTAAAAAATCATAAGGACATATATCAGGGAGCTATAAGTCTGGGTAATCAGAAAAGTTTCCCTAAGAAAATGATATTTCAGCCAAAATATAACGGGCAAGTAAGAGACAATTGGTAATGTGAGGAAAGAGAAACAACCTTCATGGAATCTCTGAAGTAAAACATAGGATGGCTAAAGTAAGGTCAATGTGAGATATCAGCCAACAGGGAAAGAAAAACTGATTAGCAAGGAGTCTGCAGAAATAGACAGAAACCAGATCAAGTAAAGCCTTATAAAAGAAGTAAAATATTAATATTTTTGTTTGTACATAAGCATAGTGAAGGGTAGGATAAAGAGAAACAACTTTATCCTACTCGTCTTTATCCTGTTCTTCTTTATCCTACCCAAGAGAAACAACTTGAACAAATGTGCATTTAATAGGTTCCAGTTCATGATGGCTGACTACAAGCAGCTAGTGGGTGCCTCTCTCACAGAGAGGAGTTAAAATAGCAAATAAATACTAACACTTTAAGGGAATCCTTGACGAAAGCACTCTGAAATTCACCAGAGAAGCAACAGGAACCATGAAGAGCAGAAGAGAGTGAAGCCGAGTAGACTGCACAGCTGGGAGCTACATGAAGCCAGGAAAGGCTTCCTAATAAGGGGAAAGGATGAGTGAGTGACAGACCCCCGTTTCAGAGGCGTTTGAACCAGAGCAACTCCATCTTAAATACACACTGACAGAAATAAGGCTGAGACCTGCTGGCCTGCATTCCCAGACAGGTTATGCATTCTAAGTCACAGGATGAGATAGGAGGTCGGCACAAGATACAGGTCATGAAAGCCTTGCTGACAAAACAGTTTGCAGTAAAGACGCCAGCCAAGACCCACCAAAACCAAGATGGCACTGAGAGTGACTTCTGGTCGTCGTCACTGCTACACTACCATTAGTGCCATGACAGCTTACAAATGCCATGGCAACATCAGGAAGTTACCCTATGTGGTCTAAAAAGGGGAGGTATGAATAATCCACTGCTTATTTAGCATGTAATCAAGAAATAAACATAAAAATAGGCAACCAGCAGCCCTCAGTCTGCTCTGTCTATGAAGTAGCCATTTTGTTATTCCTTTACTTTCTAAATTAAACTTACTTTAACTTCAGGGACTCACCCTGAGTTCTCTCTTACACGAGATCCAAGAACCGTCTCTTTGGGTGTGGATCGGGACCCCTTTCCAGGAACACCAGGGGTTCTGCAACTCCAACATGGACCTTTACAATCCTAGTCACTGGAGAGCATCATCGATCCCCCAGTTTCTCCGGACTGAAAGAGGGAGGTGCTTCAGACTGAGGAGAGGTACTGCTCCAGCCGACGTGGAATCCAGCAGGCTTTTGATCCCCAAGCAGCCTGGCACCAGCTGTTGCTTGGGGATCAAAAGGAATGAAAGCCGGGCATCTTCGTCCACCTGGCCATAGTATAAAGGAGCAGGCAAACAATGCAAGGCGGAATCCCCTGCCTCCACTGTGTCCAGCCAAATGGGTACCCACCCCCACAACCAGGTCCCCCAGCGCAGCAGCCCTTCACTGCCTGAACACCGCAGCTCCAGATCAACATCCAGAGGCCACAGATAGGCCCTCCGTCGCTTCCACCACTGCTGCCTTTGCCCCCACCATCTGCAGGCCAGGGAAGGAACAGGGAGGTGGGGCACTTCCAGGGACCCCGCCAAAGCTGACTCGGCAGTCCTGGTGTGGAGGAGTGGGAAGCCAAGGCTTTTGCTGTGCTCTCTCAGGCAGGGTTTGACTGCTTCAGCTACAGGCCCCCGGGTGCTGTGCAGCTACCCTGCCCCCACCTGAAAATGCAGCCATTGTTTAGCATGCAATCAAGAAATAAACATAAAAATGGGCAACCAGCAGCCCTCAGGCTGCTCTGTCTATAAAGTAGCCATTTTGTTATTCCTCAGCATTGCTCTGAGAGCACAACTCCCAGAGGTTTCTGCTAGGCCCTTCCCAGTCACTGTCACCAAGGCTTCTGCCTCTGCCTTTGCCCTTGCTACCCAAAAGCCGGGAGGACATGAGGAGCCAGGACACTTCCATGCTGCCTAACGCAGAAACTGCAGCCACGGTGCAATGCACAGGGAGCAGACCAATACACAGCACTGGATCCTGATTCCCTGCCCCTATGGGGCATGCCTACTTTGGCAATGAGTCCCCAAGTGCACCCACAGTGCACTTGCCCTGCCCTTGCCTAAGCACTGCAGCTGCAGCTAAACTTCCAGAGGCTGCCAACTCCCAGAGGCTGCCAATACGCCCTGTGCAGCATCCGACACTGCTGCCTCTTCCCCTGCTGCCCGTGGGCCAAGAAGGGCATAGGGACATCAGGCACCTTTGTGCACCCTCAACAGTGAAGTCCAGTGCCACTTCTGTGGGAAGGAAGTGTGAGTGAGCCACAGGCCCCACAGCTGCCACTCTCCACTGCCCCAGATGAGGCCCATCACCTGAGCCTCTTCCTGTCCCTCCCTGAGAATTCTGCTGGTGACTTGGGAACCAGCCCAGCCATCGCTGTCACAGTCAGTACCCAAAATCTAGGCTGACATCATCCTGGTCCAGCCCATTTCAGACTTGTACACACCATCCAGTGAGCCACCTAGTGGCCTGGGAATTGGGAAATTATCTCAGCCCAGCCCGCCACTGCTGGCACCTGACCACCACCAACAGGGGCCACAGGTTGGGTGGACCCACCATCACAACTCACATCAGCCTAAAGGTGGAGCCCCTCCCCTTCCCTACACAAAGCAGCAGCATTACCCCTTGGCAGAACAGGTGAGCCATAAATCTGTCTGTATTAGGAGGACTGAAGAGGTTCCACCTGGAAACCACTGACTCCTATAGAGAGCCATGAAACAGACATTTTCCTTGGTGCTCAGCTACACAGTGGCCTGGAGATAGACAAAAGTGTGCATCTGAACACTGGAATGGGCACTGGAATAGGGGTGTGATAGAGAAGCTGATCTCATTCCTGCTGATCTAGGACATACAGCTGGTGTAGCCCTTCAATCCTCTGCAGAGACCTTGGTGCATCTCACCAGGGCTCCCTTAGCCAGACCAGTTCAGAGTTGGTGCTGCACTAGTCATTGAGGTATCCATGGGCAAGCCGGGAAACCAGCTCTGCTCATTTGTGCCCCCCTCAACTGTTGAACAGGAAGTTCAGGGCACTGGGCACTCCACTGACCAGCCCATCACCTGAAACAAAGACAGCATTTCACAGTAAACAAAAATTGAATACATATCTAGCTGCTTGTGCCTCAACTGGTTTTACCCATACAGCCACCTACTGACCTGCAGGTCAAACTGCATAGGCCAATATAAAACATGCTGATGGAAGTGCACAGGGCTATAGAAGCAAAGCCAAAAGACCCTAACCAACATACTCTATACTCACACCTCCTGGGGGAGGGGATATATATGAGAGAAAAAAAAAAACCTGAAAAAAAAGAAAAAAACATCTTCCTAGATGAGAAGGAACCAGCATAAGAATTCTGACACCATGAAAAATATAAACGAGACATCACCAAAGGATCTCACTAGCTCTCTAGCAATGGACCCTAAGCAAAATGAAAACTTAGAAATTACAGATAAAAAACTTAAAGCATGGATTGCAAAGAAGCTTAATGAGATCCAAGAGAAGGTTGAAAATCAACACAAAGAAACCATGAAAGGAACCCAAATAAGGAAGGAAAATATAAATATTTTTAAGAAAAAAATAGAGAAAGAACTTCCGAAAATGAAAAGCTCACTGAAGGAATTTCCAAATACAGATGAAAGCGTTAACAATAATCTAGACCAAACGGAAGAAAGAATTTCAGAGTCTGAAAGTTGGTATTTAAAATTAACCCAATCGAACAAAAATAAAGAAAAAATAATCTTTCAAAATGAACAAAGCCTTCAAGAAATGTGGGATTATATAAAACAAACAAACCTACAATTTATAGGCATTCCTGATAGAGAAGAAAACAAAGTAAGCCACCTGGAAAACATATTTAAGAAAATAATTGAAGAAAACTTCCCTAATATCTCTAGAGAGGTAGACATCCATATACAAGGAGTTCAGAGAACACCTGCTAGATACTATACAAGATAAACATTCCCAAGCTATATAGTCATCAGATTATCCAAGGTCAACACTAAATAAAAAATCTTCAATGCATCTGGAGAAAAGGGTCAAATTACCTATAAATAAATTACCTATTTATGTAAAATCCATTTCCCTATAGAGTAAATGTGTATAGGTTTTCACATGCATCTAATTTGTCATAAGAAGCTTTAATTAACTGTGTAGCTACCCAATAATCCAGATGACAGCCAAAGGAAATAAGAAAATTCTTAAAAGGTCCAAAGCCATTCCTAAAGTTTCTGCAAATTTTTAGAAAACGTACATTATCTCAGTAACCTCTGTCTTCATTCTGTACCATGGTGATCCATAGAAATGAAGCTTTTTTTATGTCTTCCCATCCCAAATAAATACCATGTACATAATTAATGAGTGCAACAGAATGATTTTCAATTTTTAAAAATTTAGTTTAATTGATAAATAATAATGCCACAGGATCCTTAGGGTGTCACTTCACCAGCCAGAAACTTGTGTGGCTGGAGGCACCTCTGCCTGAGGTTTGCTCCAGCCACTGGGCTAATTCACCCACTCAGCCTAGAAGGCTGAGCTCGACTTGCACTACTGGCCCAGATCCCATGTTTGCCAAGGGTGAGCCAGGCACAGAGTGGCAAAGGGCGTGTGAGTGAGTGAGCGCTGGTTTCAGCCACTACACACAGCCAGGCACAATGGCTACTGCAGCAGGGCGGGAAGGTCCAGGCACCAACAAAGGTGCCAGCTCCGTGCAAGGCTGCAGCTGGTTCAGAAGTACCACAAGTGTCTTCCACTGTGGGCACCAGTGTCTGGATGAGGGGAACGTGTTGGTTCCCAAAAGCTCAGAGACACCAAGAGCCACAGATCCCCAAAGAGGGTGTTACAGCATATCAGAGCCCTGGCTCAGGGAGCCCCAAGGTCTAGGCTCCCAGAAGGGCCACAGCTCTTCTCTCTTTCTCCTCTTCTGCTGCCTTCATCTCTTGGGCTGGCCTAGCCCTGCCTCTGCTTTGCATCATGTGTGCTGGTCAGGTGGCACTAGCAAAGATGGAGGGCTTTGGTGTTATAACCCCTTTGGCTCCTGTCAGCATGGAGAGCTGGCCGTGGATGTGTTACAGCTCCTTGTTTGGGGGAGTCTCAAGTTCTTATCTCACATCCAGGGAAAATGAGGTTATGTGGACAACTGGAGGGTGAGCAAAACAGAAATGAGCTTTACTGAGTGACAAAACAGTTCTCAGTCTAGAAGAAAGCTGAAGTAGGTAGCTCCCATTGGCAGGCAGGTCGTCTGGACAAGTGTCTGAGTCTGAGTTTGGGGTTTTTATAGGCTCAGAGGAAGTGCATGCCGATTGGTCCATGAGCAGGAGGAAGTGTGTACTGATTGGTTCATGGGAGGACCTGGAAAAAGCCCCACTTGATTGTCTCAAAGGCATCAAGGAAATTCTCACTACCAGTGTTGCACCTCACCTGGAACTGGCAGCCCAGACCCCCGGCTTCAGGCAGTCCCTGGCTTGAAGGTGGTGTTTCAATGGGGACACACCCCTTTCTGCCTAGGAACCTGTCTGCCTCCCACTGCCATCAATAATTTTGTATGTTTTATATATATATATAAAAATATAAATTATATATATACACAAAATTATTGATGGCATTATACATATGCATATATATATAGGTACAATGCAACGTTTTGATATAACATTGTCAGATGATTAAATCAAGCTAATTAACAAATCCAGGACCTCACAAATCATTTTTTATGGTGAAAATATTTAAGGTCTACTATTTTAATAATTTTGAAATAGAAAAGACATTATTATTTATTATAATTACCATTCTGTGCAATAGATCACTACAGCTAGATTTCTCCTGTCTGACATTTTGTGCACTTTAATCAACATCTCTCTTTCTCCATCCATCTCCCCTCCACCCAGCCTTTGATAACCATGCAATAGAATTTTTAAAAGACTAGTGATGTACTATATAATACAAAGATTCCATGGAAGTATTTATTTTTAAGGTAATAAATTATAAAGTCTCCTCAGAATTGTACCCTGGATCAGGAATCAGGAAGAGATGTATCTATATTGGATACTGTTACTATGTAACTATTCTATAAAAATCAAATAAATTCACTTATTTCAAAAATTAAAAAATTGCAGTGCCTTCACTGAATTATAATTGACATACAATAAACAACATCTACTTAAAGTGCATCCTTTGATAACTTTTTAACCGGGGTATATACACTGCTAAACCATCACTCCCCTCGAGATAATAAAAATATTCATCACATCCAAAAATTTTCTTATCCTCTATTGTAATCCCTCCCTCCTGCTTCCCCCTGTTCCCATCCCAAACAACCATTGACCTTTTCCTACCACAGATTTGTTTGTGTTTTTTAGAATTTTACATAAATGAAAATACAGAGTACGTACTCTTTTTTGTCTGGCTCCATATTTGGGGATTCATCCATATAGCGTGTATCAAGTGTTCATTCTTTTTGATTGCTGAGTAATATTTCATTGAATAGATAGTCCTCAATTTCTTTATCCTGTCAGTTGTTAATGGAAGTGAGGATTCTTTCCATTTCTTGGCTGTTATAAAGTGAGGTACTGTAAATAATAAGCACAAGTCTTTGTGTGTATATATGTCTTCATTTCTCCTGGGTAAATACCTAAAAGTGGAACAGCCAGCGGGATCATATGTCAGAATTTTCTTCCCTTTTAAGACTGAATAATGTGCTGTTTATATATATACCACATTTTGATTATCCACTTAGCTATCAGTGGACACTTGGTTTGCTTCCATGTTTCAGCTATGTTGAATAATGCTGCTATGAACTTGGGTGTACAAACATCACTTCAAGACCCTAATATAATCCCACTCTCACTTTGATTTTGGTATGTTGAGTCTTCTCTCACTTTTTCTAAGTCCATTTAGCTACAGGTTTGTCATGTTGTCAAAGAAGCAACTTTTCATTTCAATGATTTTCTCTAATGTTTTCTGTTTTCTTATTCATTTACCTCTGCTCTCTAATATTTATTATTTCATCCCTTCTGCTAGCTTTGCACTTACTTACTTTACTTATTTTGCACTTACTTTATTTTTCTAGGTTTATGCTATGGTTTGAATGTATGTATTCTTCCAAAATTTATGTATTGGAAATTAGCTCCCAAGGAAATGCTATTAACAGGTGAGGCTTTTGGGAGATGAGGCCATGTGGGCCTCATGAATGGGATAAGCTCCCTTATAAAAAAGGCTTATGGGAGGCCAGAGCTCTTTTATTCCTATTTACCATGTAAGGAAGCAGCATTCTTCTCCTCTGAAGGATTCAACAAGGCATAATTTTGAAGCAGAAAGCTCTTCTCACCAAACACTAACCTTGCTGGTACTTTGATTGGGAACTCACAGCCCCCAGAACTGTGTGAAATAAATTTTGGTTATTTATAAATTACCCAGTTTGGGGCATTTTATTATAGCAATACAAATAGACCAAAATAGTTTTTTAAGTTGTAAAGTTATGTTGTTGATTGGGGATCTCTCTTGTTTTTTAATGTGCATTTATAGATATAAATTTTTCCCTTAGCAGTGCTGTGTCTCATAAATTCTGTTATGTGATATTGAAGTCTTCAACTATTATTGCAGAACTATCTATTTCCCCTCCATCCTACCAATTTTTAATTTATACGTTTTGATGGTCTGTTATTAAGCTCATAAATGTTTATAATTGTTATGTCCTCTTGATGCACTGAACCTTTTAGTAATATATAATGTCCTCCTTGGCTCATAAGTTTTAGTTTAAAGTCTATTTTGTCTGATATTAGTGCAACCTCCTCTGCTTTCTTTTGCATGGAATTACTCAGTTGCATGGAAAATTCTTTGCATGGAATATCATCTTCCATCTTTTCACTTTTGATTTATTGGGGACTTTGGACCACAATGGAGGGAAGTACAACAACAATGTCCACCTGTCTCTTTGCAGCTCTGTGATCAAAAGCAGCAATAGGTGATTAAAGTATAGACCCCTAATATTTAGAGGACAAGGTACTTTTTTATCCACTTTGGCTTCTAGAAGCTGTGTACAGGCTGCTCTAGGAACATATGCACATGTCCCTTCCACAGGTTTGGCAGTGGGAAATGGGTAGCTGCTACTGTGCAAAGAGCAGAAATAAATTGAATTTTGCCCCTTTTACCATCCCAACGGGGTGAAAGTTGCAAGCCTCTGATAGACTCCAGGGTTCCAAAACAGTTACATTAGGCAGATTCTGAAAGTGCAACTGTTTTCTAGTTAGAGAGACAGATTTCTTGTGTTCCAGGAATTTATTATCTTTCTAGAGTTTTGATTTCAAGCTAATTCACTGTTCGAAATCACTGGTTCTTTCTTCTTCTGCAATCAGGATTAATAATGCTCTATTTAACTTATACCACTGTTAGAGATCAAATGAGACAAAGTAAGTTATATAAAAAGAATGGAATGTATCGTTAAATACATTTATAGGAGGTCATTGATTTGGACTGAGCTCCTGCATTATGATCCAATAGAGCAAACCAAAATGGAGTAATTCATGCTAAAATCCCATGTATCCAGACAGAAACTAAGTTATTTATCTGACCTTCTAAGAAATAAGGACAGAGATAGCCAAATTCTGAAACAGGCCAGTTTTAGCTGGCACAATTAAAAAGTCCTATCTGCTTTAACCTTTACAAGGAAAGTAACCTGATGTAAACTGATATTGAGCAGTCTCCTTTTTGCTCTTTCCTTGTGCCTGATTAAGCTACCTTATAAAATCTGACAGTGTGCCATGCCCAGCATAGCCCCTCTGTTTTTTGAATGAGATGCTCCCCAATTACTGAATTGCAAATAAAGACCAATTAGGTTGTTTAACTAAGTTTGTTGACATTTTGTCTTTTGATATTGTAATTTCTTTTCTAATACAAAGTGTTATTATTTATTTGTATTATCCAGTTGCTTATTATTTGTGAACTTTGGATATTTCTGTAATTTAAAATATATTTATAAAATAAAATTTTATGTCTCTTTCATCTTGTTCTGATTAGTTGTATTAAAAATGTTTCTTGTCCTTTCAGTTGATAAGATTTTTTAAATCAAGTTCTGTCTCTCTCACAGGAATAAAATTTATGAGATAAAACCAGGATGAGCAGAAAGTGATGTCTATTAATTCAAATCTTTCTATTTAAAAAGTTAAATACAAAGGTAAAAAGAAAATAAGGGAAGGGAGAAAAAGAGAAAAGGAAGGAAGGAAGGAAGGAAGGAGGGAAACTGCCCTTTAAATTATTTTATTGCCTCCCATCAGTTTCCTCTTCTTCCTCCCTTGCCAAAACCAAAGCCTGTTTTGGCCGTGTCTCAAAAGGACCACAAGTTTTTTGGTATTTACTGTTCTTTAATTTTCTTCCCCTACTTCTGCTTTAAACAACGAAGTTGACATTCTCAGAAATTGTAGCAGTTTTGAATTCATGACCGAAACTTCCTGTGTGTAAAGGATCCAAGAACTGTCATAAAGTCTATTCTATAATGATGTGTCACTGTGTCACTTACATGATTCACATAGGGCTGGGTGGTTGTTATTGAGGGTTTCACACTGGCAGCCTAGAGTATGGAATCTCATTTTAGGTGAGTTACTGCTAACACGTCTAACATGTAAATTTTTTATTAATGTTAGCAAAGAATAACCTGGAGGAAGTGTAAGCACAAAATGAATTAGGTTATATCAAAACTCAGGGGAAAAAATGACTAATTGTCAATGTCATTGATATGCTATGATAATTCTCCCTTGGCATGGGTCTTCAGAAATTAATATAAGCTAGTTTGTTTAAGAGATTGATATGTTACAAATCTCAGGATTTTAGAATATTTGAATGGTTCTTATTCTCTATTTGCAAGGGAAGACTTCAATAAAGCAAGATGCAAACTCTGCTGTTGCTGAGTCAAGTACAATAATATTAGCACAGCCCAGTCTTTTTTTAGACGCTTGCTGGTTTTTGAGGGAATAGGGTGAATTTGCTAGTTCTAATCATTGCCTTTCACTATGCTTCCCCCACGTCTTTCCTGATGCGTGTTTCAGAACTAGTTTTCACTGTTTGTCTCCAGGTATATTATGTTAATAGCAAGTATCTGTAACTCTAAGTAATCAAATTTCATTCTTCATGTACAAAGATCATCAAAGGCATTTCTCTCTCCCCTTGAGAAATATACAATGCATTTTTCCTCCATTTTGGGAAACACAGTACAAATATGTGTTAGAATCAATAATGAATTTGATGAGAAATAATAAAATGATTACAATGATGAGTTAGTTTTCACCATCTGTTACAGACATGCCTGAGTTCATTTTCTGCTTTACCAATTTATGATGTTAATTTTTTTCTCAATTGTTAAAACTTTTTAAATTAAGTGAAGAAACTCCATAATGACAAATATAGTCATTAGATTGTTTTAATAATATTAAAATAAAATCATAAGCCGTGATGTCATAAACTATTCTATCAGTTTTAAAATTTATGACAACATTTTCTCATTTGATTTTAGGGGTTTTTATTGAACAGGGTGGTAAGCCAGTCAATAAATAACTATTTACTAGGTGTCAGGCACTGTTCTATATATTGGGAGTGGGAAGTTGAAAAATGTATGGTTTATGAGTTGATTTTAAATGTGGACAGAGACAACGCCAAATTTACGGGTTGTGGATCCATTCCCATCTATTTCCTTCTAGAATCATAACTTCTTTCTGTGTTCCTTTCCAGCTGGTGTGTAGACAGGGGGAAATTACACACAGGTGCCCTCTGTAGTTGAAAGCAATCTAGGTACAGCCTGCCATATCAATTCTCGGTAAAGCCAGGGTAGCCATATGACCTGAACACAGCCAGTGGGGTCCTTTTCCCTTAATCTTGAAAATGGAAGAGATAAGGCAGTTGTGATTCATTCTCCCAGTGGCTGCACCTTGACTGGCTAAACTGTTCTTTGCTTATTTGTTCTTAGCCCTCTGAAGGCTCTCTGGATGCCTGTCTTACCCAAGCCTGCTGTAGCCCACCTCTCCATCTATTTCATCTGTTCCTAATTTCTTTACAATGAGTTCATTTTGGACTTGGTATTCTTATTGCTTGCAATTAAAACATCAAAATTCATATAAAATTTCTAAATTTTTTTCTACTGAAGAACACAAAATATATAGATATATGAGAAATTAGAATATTCTAAACTCCCTAATTACTGATGGGCAAAGATTTTACAACTTCTCCCTCTCTAGTTCCTAATCACTCTTGCACTAGAAGCATTATCTTTCTCACCATGTTCTCATATAATTTCATGCAAAACATCTCTCAGTTCCTGGTTATATCAGGGTGCTTTGAGTTTTCATGGTGTAGAATGGAAAAATGTCATTGCTTCAAAGTAGTATGCCTTGAACAGGCTTTAGCAATTCAGAGGAAAATAAAGAGCTTGTTACTATACAATATGTTTAACTTTTTCAGAAACAGCCAAACTGTTTTCCAAAGTGGCTTCACTTATTTACATTCCCACCTGTTTCTCCACACTGTTGCTAACACCTGGTACCATCAGTCTTCTTGACTATAGCCATTCTATAAGGAGAATAATGGTAGCTCACTGTGGTTGTAATTTGCATTTCCCTAATGACTAATGATGTTGAGATTTTCCATATGCTTACTAGCTACTCATGTATATACAAAATGTCTATATATTATCAACAAATAATCTGAACATAAAATCAATAAAACATTCCATTTATAATAGTATCAAAAATAAAATTCTTGGGAATGAATTTAATGAACGAAGTGCAAGATGTACCTTGAAAACAACAAAAGATTGCTGAGAGAGAGTAAATAATGTCTAAAGAAATAGAGAGACATGCCACGTTCATGGAAATAATCTATTCTATTAAGATGATGATTGTCTCCTAAATTGATGTGTAAATTCAATAAAATACATATCAAATTACAGCAGAATTTTTGTAGAATTTGACAAGCTTATCCTAAAATTTGTATGGAGTGCAAAGAAGCAAGAATAGCCAGTACAATTTTTTCCAATACTTGGAAACAATATAAATTAAGTACCCATCAACTGCTTAATAGATAAGCAAAATGTGGCACATAATTATAAATACAAGTTAGAGAAGTTACAGTACTTGATTCAAAATTCATTATCAATCTACAGTAGTGAAGACATTGTAGTATTAGTATAAGAACAGAGATATAGTATGGATTCAAATCATTTGTCAGACATTTGATTTGCAAATTCCTTTATTTGGTGGTTTATTTTGTATTTTCATTTTGATAGATATATAGATATAATTAATGTATGTGTATTAATTTTATATTGAGTACGTATGAAGGGAACTCACATTGTTGAATTGTTCCAGATCATAGGAGTAAATTATTTATTTCCACAATTAAGTATAATTTACCATAAGTTTTCCATACATATTATTGATCAGAAAGAGGAAGTTTTCTTCTATTCCTAGGTTATTGAAATTCTTGTAATGAATGGATATTTGTTGTTATCAAAACAAATTTTTGGGCATCAGTAGAGATGATCAGGTACTTTTTCCCTCTTTATACTACTTATACGAATAATGACATTAATTAATTTTTAGATGCTAAAACACATTTAAATGTTTAGGGTATTTGCTAATTTTGATTAGAATTTGATAATGTTTTTAAAGTATTTTTGTGTTAGTGTTTCACGAAGGATGTTGCTGGGTAGTTTCACTGAAGTTTTTATTCTGATATCTTTGCCTAGCTTTGGTATCTGGATAATATTGATCCAATAGAGTAAGTTGTACTTACTCTGTTCATGTACTTTCTGAAAGACTTTTTAAGGATTAGTATTATTCCACTGTTACATATTTGAAAGAAGTCCTTAGTGAAGTCATGTGATCCTGAGATTCTTATTGAATAACTTTATTGGTTATAGATCTATTCAGATTTTTCTAAGTCAGTTTTCAAAATCTGTTTCTTTCTAGGAATTTTATCACTTGCTTCAGTTGTCTAGTCTGTTTTTTGATATACAAAAAAACCTGTACATTATTTAATGTATAAAACTTGATGAATTAAGAGATAAATATCCACTCGTAAAACCATCACCACAATCTATACCAAAATCAAACATTTCCAAAAGAGACCTCCTGTCCCCTATATTTATTATTTTGGTAAAACAACCTAAGATCTACTCTGGCTTTTTTTTTAAGTACACAATATAGGATTGTTAACTATTGGCACTATGTTTTAGAGTAGAAATCTAGGACATATTTATCTTGCATAATTGAAATATTTTACTCATCGACTAATACGTTCCTCTTTTTCCTCCTCATAGGTCCTGACAACCAACATTCTACTCTGTTTCTATGAATTTGATTATTTTAGATTCATCATATAAGTAGGATAATGTTATATTTGTCCTCTTGAGTCTGTTGATTGAATTTTCCTTTGAATATTGGATTTTTTGGATCTTTGTCTAGGAATATTAGATTATATCTTGTACATTTTGAATATTATATTATCAGATTTTGGGTCTTATTACAGATCCTCTGGAGAAGGTTATTTGTTGTTGTTATTATTGTGTTGTTTTTGTTTTGTTTTTATTTTCCAATCCACTGAGGTTCACATAATAATTTCTCTCTCACCTTCTGTGGGTTCTAATATCAGTGCAGTTTTTAAAATCTTTTCATTGTTCTTTGAGTTTATCCTGTACATGCACAGTTCATGAGTTATTCTGAAACTTGGGCCATAGTTTATATTGTAGTTTAATTCTCAATTACTTTCTATTATGCTTCAGGTCTGTTGAACACATGCACAGCTTGAGATTCAGCACAAGGCCGGTGTCATACACATAATTAGGCATCCCCTAGTCTAGCTCTCTCTCTCTCTCTCTCTTTTGTTTTGTTTTGTTTTTGTTTTCAATTTTCTCCTCAGTCTGGCTTCCAGCGGCCCTTGAGAGTTTTTTTGTTTGTTTCTTTTTGTTTTTTGAGACGGAGTCTTGCTCTGTCGCCCAGGCTGGAGTGCAGCGGCACGATCTCTGCTCACTGCAAGCTCTGCCCCCTGGGTTCACGCCATTCTCCTGCCTCAACCTCTCAAGCAGCTGGGACTACAGGGGCACTCCACCAAGCCCAGCTAAATTTTACGTATTTTTTAGTAGAGACGGGGTTTCACCGTGTTAGCCAGAATGGTCTGGATCTCCTGACCTCGTGATCCGCCCGCCTCGGCCTCCCAAAGTGCTGGGATTACAGGCATGAGCCACCGCGCCCAGCCGGCTCTTGAGAGCTTTTATCTTCCATCTTCTTTCTACCTATTCAGCTGTCCTAATGTCGTCCAAGCCTCAGGTTAAATACTAATTTCTCAGGAAGCACTCCTTTGCCCCAAATAACACCACATTTACTTCCAATTAAGTAATTGTATGTGTATTTCTCTGCTTAATATTATTTATCCTTCTATATTACACAAAATAGCAGATCAAGAAGTATTTGTGTATTGTCCCCTGCTTCACTGAACACGCTTTGCTAAGTGCTTTGCACAGTGGAGGCCTATAACGATGTGTTAATATATTGACCTATCATCGGATGAATGTAATTAAATTTGGAAGATAAGAAAACTATGTCAATTATATTAAAAGAAAAAAATTGATAGAATAGTGGTGGTTAGAAAGTGTTTTAAAGATTTAATATATATATAATATATATGTTATGTAATATATATATAACATATATGTTATGTAATATATATATAACATATATGTTATGTAATATATATATAACATATATGTTATGTAATATATATATAACATATATGTTATGTAATATATATATGTATATTTGAGATGGAGTTTCACTCCTGTTGCTCAGGCTGGAGTGCAATGGCGCTATCTTAGCTCACTGCCACCACCACCTCCCAGGTTCAAATAATTTTCCTGCCTCAGCCTCCCAAGTAGTTGGGATTACAGGTGCCCGCCACCAAACTTGGCTAATTTTTGAATTTTTAGTAGAGACAGGGTTTCACCATGTTGGCCAGGCTGGTCTTGCACTCCCGACCTCAGGTGATACGCCCTCCTTGGCCTCCCAAAGTGCTAGGATTACAGGCGTGAGTCACTGCGCCCAGCCTAGAATATATTTTATAACCAAAATAAAAAGTTCCATTTCCAGCACTGTCAATCCAGTCATGTCCAAATGGTTATCACTTGCTGGTCTCGATATCATGTTTTCACTTTGACACCAAAACTCAACCTCAGCAATGAATTTATGATGACTCGACCCAACCAAAGTTCTTCTGTTAAGACTTGCAAAACTAGTATAAGACAGAGTCATAATAGGATAGTGATCTGTTAAATGGCATCTCACTATATACCAAGATTTGTGGGACTTGGCATTTAAATCTTAATTACACACTAATACCAACATTTTGGGAGGCCGAGGCAGGCAGATCACTTGAGGCCAGAAGTTTGAGGCCAGGCTGGCCAACATGGTGAAATCTGTCTCTACTAAAAATGCAAAAATTAACCAGGCACTGTGGCATGCGACTGTAATCCCTGCTACTCGGTAGGCTGAGGTGGCAGAATAGCCTGACACTGAGAGGTGGACATTGCAGTGAACCGAGATCGCCCCACTGCACTATATCTAGCCTGGGCAACAGAGTGAGACTCGGTCTCACAAAAACAAACAAACAAACAAAAAAAAACAACCCAAAAACAAACAAACAAACACCTTAATTACAAAAAAAATTAATGTAAGGTATTAAATCTCTACAGGGAAACTTCATGAATCACAAAAGATAGAATCTCAGTACTAGAGATGCATTTCACATAAATTTAATTGGCTGATGTAGTATACAAAATCCAGATATATTACAAAAGACATACCTGCAACAGATTTCTGCCATTTATCTGAAAGAAAAGGACTCTTCTCCTAAAAAGGGAATTATATTATAGATTGTGCAAAATGTTCAGTGAATAATAGATCACCTTGACTGAGAAGTTAAATTTGCCAAAACACTAGTTGTTTAGAACTTCTTCAGTGCGGTGAATGTTTAAGACCTAAGACCAACTCTGAGTTTCTCCATGAAAGAAGAATATTTCAAATTTGCAAGTCATGCGTATATTGTAAAAGAAAATAAATAGGATATGGGAGAAATACTTAGCTAAGGAAGATGCAGAAGATTATTACCAAGTGAGGGGTTGGTGATATTTTTCCTTTCAGGAGTGCATCTGCCTATCGTCAGTGACAGACATTATGGCTTCAGTAAGTAGAAATGTGAAGGAGAAGCCAATTTACAGGAAAGCATTTCCTAGTTAAATAGAGATCACTTGCAGATTTGGGGAAACAACAAAATAGTTCTGTCATACATGATTTAGGACATTAGAAGCAGTGACAGTTTTCCTTTGATACTTGCAAAGTGTCCTAGTTGTACAGTGCATGACTGATTTACTCTAGATAGAGAATATCAGTGAAAGTGGTCAGAGACAAAAGAAGAAAAGAGAAATATTTTGAAACCCCTGAGGAAAGTACCTGTATCTACTGCAGACTCATATGACCATTGGGAAAAATAATATATTATTTTAGAACATGTGTTTGTGGGGATATATCCACCCACCTCATTCCACTCAAGACCCAAGAAGAAAAACAATTTGTTTTGCTTTATTTATCCCAAAGTTAGTTGCTTCTTAAGAGACAATGATTAACGATTAGAGTTTTCTTGTTTTATTTGTTAACATAGACTTGTAACGCTAATAAACCTAAATCAATAAAATGTGTCAGAAGGTTTTCTACAATTTACGCATATGAAATCAGAGAGTATGCTACTTGAATATCACAAAGCCTTTTTTCCTGCTTCCTGGTATCACCTTTCCATTCAATAGGTAAATCAGATGGCTCAGATACTTATCTATATATAGGAGAGTGATGCCATTTTCCATAATCCCTTTATTACCCTGTCAGTGGTCACCTGAGGTACTGGGGAGTGGTTGGTAAACACTTCCTCCTGAGTCACTTTTCTCTGCAGTTCATTCAACCACTTTGCAGAACTCCTAACCACGGCACCAGCTCTGCTCCATGCCTGTGCTCTCTAGACCTGGAGCACCAGGATATTCGTCCTTTGTTCTTCATTTATCAAAAGACTAGGCACATAGAGTTAATGTGCAGTAGACTTTTGCTGCTGTTTTCATGTGTAAAAAGGGGAACTTATCAGTTCAACAAGAAATAATTTTGAATGTAATCCAACACGACATTGTTCCAAGAAGTATATAAGCCTTCCTCTCCATATAGAATTCCTCACTATTTTGAACTGCAGTCCCAAGCTTCCTATCCTCTCTTGTCTGCTTCTTAGAGAATCCATTTTCTAAAATAAAGCAAGAAACAAACCACACAAAACAAAACAAAACCCCTGTTAAGCCATCAAAATTGCAAATACTTGTTACTTTATTAGGTAGCAATTTAAACCTATCCTTAAAATAGTTCCAATTTATGTCATACACAGCAGGCCTTATCTTTTATTAAAATTTACAAATTATTCTCTGTCAAAAAAAATACAATTTTTTCAAATGGGAATTCAGCCGTTTCTTTCCAGGCCAGCCAGTTCATATAGCAGGCAGATTTTAATATATCATTTCTCCCAAAAATAGATGTAAAATAGAAAATGAAAATTTTGTAATAAAAAATTTAGACTACATTAAAATTGTAATAAAACATATTAATGCTAAGGCTATAAAACAGAAATCATAATTCAGAAAAATATTATGTTTGACAGTTTTAATAATTTAATATTTATCAAACAAGTATCTTGGGATATTCAGATAATTCCCTATGGAGGAAATATTATAAAAAAGTTACAAAGGGGTAATTTGGGATCATTCTTGATTTTTTTTTAGCAATATCAATTAATTTCTTAAGAAATACCTTGAAGTATATTGACCTTCATAGATCAGGCATAGCTCTTCTTTTCTTGAAACAAAATCATAGTTAGAATAATTAATATTCTTATGAGCATTCTTGAAGGATCAAAGAAATTCATAAGTAAATATGTGTGTATAATAAATTATAGAATTTTTCCCAATGCTAGATTGCAATACATTAAATACATTGATATATATATTCCAATTATACATATTTTCTAATATATGTACATATATAATCAAAGTGTACTTTCAATATTTTTATTCTGTTATATAAATTCATTTATCAGCTATACTCAACAGAATAGCATTTTTAAGGAGATAAAGAGGAATAAAGTTTTTACTACTATCTCTTATTTTGTGGTATTTTGTAAAGTAATTTCTACATTCCATCATAAGGTTGAATGTATTTTCTTCTATTTCTTATAATTTGTACATATTACCAGTTTCAATACATTTCTGTAAATCTATATATACAGTATATACAGTAGATTTTCACACCTGGAAGTGTTCTGCAACAGCTAGATAGCTGGATTTCAGCCTATATACACACAAGCATGCTCAAAGGCCAGAGAATTATCACCACCATCCCCTTCCCAGCACATGCCAGAACAGCACTCATCTGTTGGATAAGTGGCTAGCGGGACTTGCTCTGTCAAAACACAGCTACTTTTTTATTAACTGTAGCCACCATATTGTATTCTTGAAATTGCTGAAAAAATAGATTTTAAGTGTTCTTACCACAAAAATGATGAATTTGTGAGATAATGCACATCATAGTTAGCTCAACTTAGCCATTTCACAATATTTCAAAACATGTTGTACAACAAATATATGCATATTTGTCATTTAAATATAATTGAATAAATACACAGCTACCTTGCCCATCAGGCAGTATCACTCCGAGACACATATTCTACACTTACACCCAGATATTCCCAATATCATCCTAGTTAACCACAATGGTAACTGACTTGACAATGCACAGTGTTCTAAGCTCTGATGCACCACTATGATTCCCCTTCAGAACTGAAGAACTTGTCCCTCCATTTGCTAGGAACATTGTGAGTTAAAGCCCTGAGCAGTCAGCCATATGAATAAATTGCCCTTAGGTGGAAACAATGATTTCTCAATGTCACACCCCTTCCCCTGGGCAACCTGCATCCACTGATAGAAAACACAGATAAATAAAGACCTAGCTCCCTTCCTCTAACTGAGGACAAACTTAAAGGATGCTTACATTACTCTACTATTTCCTATAAATTAATCTCCATCTTAAGTTCTCCTTTCCAGGAAGATCAATCAGTAAGCTTGAGGAAAGAGTAATCTCTGAAAGGAGATGCCAAAATGGGATTCTACAGCTAATTAACTGTCAGCCACCTGGCAATGAGGACTTCATTGCTTGTTGTGGAGGGACATGTATGGGAATGTAAATGTGCCCTAGAACTTTCACTGGTGGTGAATGAGAGTAGTATACCAGTGGAAAGAGATGTGCTAGTTAGAGCAAAGTATCAGGACTCTGATACAAGGGAGAGATAATAAATATAAAGGCAATGAAAGTGGATAGTTACTGCCATTTATGCTTTGGAAGAAGATAACAAAAGACTAGAAGTGAGTAACTGACAGCACAAAGGTGAGTGATAGAAGGCCTCCTTGGTAGCATATAAAAAGATACTCATTGTCAGCAGACAAGGGAAGAGGAAGCTGAAGCTCATGCCCTGGACATAATCATAGGTCCAAAACTCCAAAGGAAACTTAAATCTCAATAGAGACAGATCTATATGCCAAACAACTGAAATCTCAATATAGACAGATCTGTATACCCAACTCAGGTCTCGTTGCAGGAAGAATGAGACCATGGAATGGGATGAGGATATCTAGGTATATATGCCCCAAAATCTTAAATTCCCAGATTCTCTTGAATTATTTGATCCTATAGATGTGGTCCACCCATCCCTAATAATATGACACACACTTCTTGCTTGAATATGATACAGATGTCTCTTTTCTGTAAAACAGCATGTGACTCACAGAATCTGGCTACATCATCCCTTTTTGTCACAAGGTTAATAACTGGAACTAAGTCACAGTTGAATCCACCTGGGATAGTGCTGGATCTGCTAAGGAAGGAAATGGACTATATCCAGAAGAAACTTCAGGTCATAGCCAACAAGTACCAGTGAAAGCTAGGAAAGTATTCATGAGACTGGCTTCTGAGGATGCTGGATTAAGGGATGCTACATTGGCGAGCATTTACTAGTCTGGGAACATAGAGATATCAACACCCAGCCAAATCTTCAAAGCTCCAAAATCATCTCCTTTGACTCCATTTCTCGCATCCAGGTCATGCTGATGCAAGAGGTGGGTTCCCATGGTCTTGGGCAGCTCCACCCCTGTGGCTTTGCAGGGTACAGTCTCCCTGCTGGCTGCTTTCTCAGGCTGGCATAGAGTGTCTGCATCTTTTCCAGGTGCACGATGCATGCTGTTGGTGGATCTACAAGTCTGTGGGCTGGAGGACTGTGGCCCTCTTCTCACAACTTCCATTGGCAGTGTTCCAGTGGGGACTCTATGTTGGGGCTCTAACCCCACATTTTCCTTCTGCAGTGCCCTAGCAGAGGTTCTCTATGAGGGTTCTGTCCCTGCAGCAGTCTTCCGCCTGGACATCCAGGCATAGCCATACATCCTCTCAAATCTAGGCAGAGGTTCCCAAACCTCAATTCTTGCCTTCTGTGAACCTGCAGGCTTAACACCACATGGAAGTTGCCAAGGCTTGGGGCTTGCACCCTCTGAAGTCATAGCCTCAGCTATACTTTGGCACCTTATAGCGATGGGTGGAGCAGCTAGGACACAGGGCACCAAGTCTCTAGACAGCACAGAGCTGGGGGACCATGGTCCCAGCCCACAAAACCATTTTTCCCTCCTAGGCCTCTGGACCCGTGTGATGGGAGGGGCTGCAGTGAAGGTTTCTGACATGTCCTGGAGACATTTTCCCCATTGTCTTGGTGATTAACATTTAGCTCCTCGTTACTTAGACAAATTTCTGCAGCAAGCTTGAATTCCTCCTCAGAAAGTGGGTTTTTCTTTTCTATTGCATCATCAGGCTGCAAATTTTCTGAAATTTTATGCTCTGTTTCCCTTTTTTAAATTTTTTGAAATAAGATCCAATTTTTAACCATATCTTTGTGAATACATAAAACTGAATGCTTTTAACAGCACCCAATTCACATCTTGAACACTTTACTGCTTAGAAATTTCTTCTGCCAGATGCCATAAATAATCTCTCTCAAGTTTAAAGTCTCACAAAACTGTAGGGTGGGGCAAAATGCCTCTAGTCTCGTTGCTAAAGCACAAAAAGAATCACCTTTGTTCCTCATCTCCATCTGAGACCACCCCAACCTGGACTTCACTGTCCATATCACTATCAGCATTTTGGTCAACCATTCAGCAAGTATCTACAAAGTTCCAAACTTTCCCACATTTTCCTGCCTTCTTCTGAGCCCTCCAATGTGTTCCAACCTCTGCCTGTTACTTAGTTCCAAAGTCAGTTCCACATTTTTGGATGTCTTTACAGCAGCACCCCAGTCTACTGGTATCAATTCACTCTATTAGTCCATTCTTATGTTGTTACTAAACAGATATCTGAGTCTGGGTAATTTACAAGGAAGGAGGTTTAATGGACTCATATTCCACATGGCTGGGGAGGCCACACAATCATGGTGGAAGGCAAAGGAAGAGCAAAGGCACACCTTACATGGCAGCAGGCAAGAGGGCATGTGCTGAGAAACTCCCCTTTGTAAAAGCATCAGATCTCCTGAGACTCATTCACCGTCAAGAAAAAAGCATGGGTAAAACCCCCATGATACAATTACCTCCCAGGAGGTTCCTGCACAACACATGGAGATTATTACAATTCAAGGTGAGATTTGGGTGGGGACACAGAGAAAAACCATATAATATCTGTCTCTTTTTTGTTATCTTTATATTTTTTATATTTGTGGTATTTTCTAAATTACAATTCTAGTAATGAGCTCATATAGATACTGCTTTTAAAATTCCCTATGTCCTTCCTATGGGAAATAATGAAACTTGCTATTCACTCATATTATTTCCACAATTATTTTAAATTAATATTTTAATACCAAGTTAATACCTATGATGTAATCAGTAATCTTCTCCTTCTACCATATTTTTAAAAATTGTATTTTACATTTATATTGTTAAAACATTTAAGTCAGTCATTTTATCCCTATAATTTAGTCTTAATTACATATATTTCAAAAATTTCATGAGATAGTTTTCTGAAGTTTGTGCTAGTTTTTTTTTTCTGAAGTTCTGAATCTGAAGGTCATCCTCTAGATTACTTCAAAATAAATCAAGAAAACAATTCTTTAGATCTGACATGTTGATAATTTAACTGCTGGTATCTGGGCTTCATATTTAAAGTCAGTTTAGCTGAAATTAAAATCTTGGTTAATGTTTCCATCCTTGACTATCTTAAATTTATTACTCTATTGTGTTTTGGATACTCCATCATAGATAAAGGGTCATATAGGGATTTTCCTTTCTTTATAAGAGACTAATATTTTGCTTTTATATTTATATATTTAATATATAATAAATATATATACATATACGTATACATATAAAATATAAAGTCTCAGCTGCTTAGGTAGAATATGGGTTTGTACCATTCTAGAATTATTTCTCCATAAATAGTGTGCATTATCAATATGATGTTTCTATTATTGTTATTTCTACTACTAACACTACTACTGCTCTTTTAGGAAAAATATATCAATATACACAGACAGACACACACAAACATATGTATATATACAGTATATGTGTTTGTATATGTATGTTTCTTTTTAATTGCTTTGCTCTTTCTTCCTTTATACACATTCTGTATGTTTTCATTCTAAGTTGTTTTCTTAATTTATCTATTTCTTTTGTTGAATTATTAATTTTTTGTTTTGCCTATGTTCTCTTTTCTTTGTTATATATGCCATGGTGTCTATTTACTTTTATTTTTCTTCTAGTATAATATTTATTTGCTAGTGTTATTTTCCTTTCATTGTACCCTTGCCCTTTGCTCATTATCTTGTTTTTGAGCTTTATACTTTCTGATTTATCAATTTTCTTGTACTTCCATAACTTTCTTAATTTTTAAGCTCATTTTGAGTTCATCTGATTTACACTCATATTTTCTCTCTTGCATTTATTATTTACACAGGATTTAACTCATTAACATATTTTCCTTAAAATATTTTTGCATCAATTTAATCATAGTATTTTTAGTTGTTCATCTTGAAATTAGATAGATTTTTCTGTGCTTTTAAAAGATGAGTTCTGCCTAATTTTGAATTGGGCCAGTGTACTATTCCAAGTTTAACTCTTAGAGAGCTCTCTCCTATCTAACTTACTGCTAATTATTTACAATTCGTGTAATATGGTTCTCAGATTTACCTCCTATGGACACTCCTTCAATAGGTGAGTATCTTCATATTTTAGATCCAATGTTGCTGCCTTGCTATTTTTGAATTCTATGTTCAGCAAATTTTTGCTTAAGCTTGGTCTCTCTCCTCCTGTAAGGAAGTTTTTGTTGGGAATTACAGTGAATCTTAAAGTCTTAGGCCTGCTCTTCATATGAATTCTAGTAAGTGCCCATGATCTCTTATATTCACCTGCAATTTTCAAACTGTGGTATCTTAGAAGTGATAAAGTAGATTTTTATTTCCTAATTTTATGAGAATGATAAAGTGAATAAATAAACAATATTTTATAAACTTTGTAACTTTTGGGTACAATTTCATGTTTTCTAGCTCTATGTGGATGTGTATTTCTGTGACTTAGCCTGCAATCCACAACAGGCTAGACTCGGGTCAATGTGTCTTGTGGCTTCATCCAGGTCTGTGATAGTGATACGAAGAGTTAATTTTAATGAAATGTTACCAGTGTATTCTCAGAATCACTCTCAGGGTAAACTGTAACAGATATATGTTAGTATACACAGCATTTGGCTCCAGTTCATCTAACAGCATATCCATCTAGTGAACTATAAAAATGTCCTCTTTTCTCCACTTTTGATAGTAAGATACTCTAAGATTATTATATTCATTGTTGTAAACAGCAATTACAGAGTAATGCAATCATTTAGGCATGATGCTTTAAATATTAGTAGTATAAAAGTTGTCTTCAAAGAGAGATGTAAAGTGTATTTATTTAAATATACAAAATATTTTAATACAAATGTATATATCAAAAAGCCACATTTTAAAGGGGCACAGTAAACATTTAACAACAAAAACCAAAAAGCATACAATTCCTCAGAGTTAATTTCCAACATACTATGCATTCATAAAAATGTGACATACAATAGAAAAAGAAAACCTTTAATATTGAAACCAACCAGCCATATGAAACCAAGGAAGTTTATATTTAGTGAAGTTCTTTTAATACTTCAGAGTTTAAAATTTGGAGTAATGAAAATTCTATTTTCATATGAATTAAAATGTTTGATATAAATTAGGATTAGGCTATCTTTTGTTGTTTGATTTTTTTTCCTAAAATTGCTAACTTAGAACTAATTTTCAATTGGGTTCTGGCCAAATTGTCAAGGAAATTCATTAAAAATAAAAGCTTTACTGTTCATAATACCATATCAAGAAGATTGATTTGTACAACATTTATTATAGGCCAAACAAATGTTAAAGGTGCATAGTCCATATAACTGCCTCAGGTAAAACACTGCAAGAATCATTCATCCAACCAGCAATAAATCTAGTCAGCATATGTGAAAAAATTATATTGTTAATTTCCTATGATTCTGTAAATGAATCCGAGTCATTGATTTTAACTAAGAAATAGAACAATGTATTTGGGACATTAAATTGCATGCAGTTTTAATGTGCAGTCTTTTTGTTTCAGAAAAAAATAAAATAGCACATATTTTTAAATTCCAGTTGTGGTAAAATACACATCACATGTAATTTACCTTTGTAGGCATTTTTAAGTGCATAATTCACAGGCGTTAAGTATATTCATAATGTTGTGCAACCATCACCATTATCCATCTCCAGAAGTATTTCATAATCCCAACTGAAACTCTGAACCAATTGAAAAATAATTCCTCATTATCACCTCCCCCTGGCTCTGGTAACCACTATATTGCTTCATGTCTATAAAATGGCCTATTTTAGAAACCTTATATAAATGGACTTTTATAATATTTGCCCTTTTGTGTACGTCATATTTTACTTAGAATAATGTTTTCAAGCCTCAACCATGTTGTAGCATTTATCTGTATTTTTTTCTTTTTAAAGCTGAATAGCATTCTATTGCATGTGTATGCCACATTTTATCAATTAATCTATTAACGAACATTTGGGTGGTTTCCACCTTTTGGCTATTGTGATTAATGCTCCTATGAACATTGGTGTACAAGTATCTGTCCCTATCACTGCCTTCAATTATTTTGGGTACATACCTAGATGTGAAATTACTGAATCATATTAAATTCCATGCTGAACTTTTTGAGCAACGATTACGCTGCTTTTTATGTATTATATTTTAAGTATAATGACAGCATTTTAAAATTTAGTGGTTAGAGTATATCATCAATAAGCTAATAAAATAAAGTAAAAATAATTTTGGATAAAAGTTGTACTTGTTTTTTGTAGAAAAACAAACAAACTGAGTATTTAAATGTTGAAAATTATATTGTTTTTCCTAATTTTACGTGGCCAAGTGACTTCTAAAGTCTGAAAGCAGGCATACTTTCATATATAAATCATTATAAACAAAACAAAAGAAAATCTGTTATTTCACTCAAAATTTATAATTACTATTCTATTAAAGACTGTTTTCTAGACTGTTTTCTATGTACGCACCAAAAAACACAAAAAAGATACTATTATGTATATATTGATGTATGTATTTTATTTACTTAACAAGAAATCTCTGTATCTTTCCATATAAACATATTAGCTATATTGTTCATCATTATGTGGACAGATCATAATTTATATTACAAAATTTCTCAAGGAGACCTACGGTGTTTTCTAGATTTTGCTATTACGAATAACACTGCATTTAACAAGCATAAAGACATATATTTGTCAAGTTGTGTGATTATTTTTCTGAATAAAAAAGGATTAGAGGAATTCATAGGTAATTAGTTTATACATTCCAAATATTGCTAGTTTTATAAAGATGTATTTTACCATTAGAAAATATTTTTCTATGTAGCATCACATTAAGAAGAGTATTTCACAATCTAAGATTATAAACACATCCTGTATAGTTTCTCACAATATTTAAAAGTTATATTTTAATATATGCAATGTGTTATTTTCATGGTGCTAAGTAGAAATCAATTTTAATTTATATTTTCCAAGAAGCTTCAAATATATTTTATGAATAATTTAGACTATATGATAAAAGAAATATTTCTTTACTAGATTCAATTAGCCCAAATTTACATGTAGCAAGGCTTATTGGAAATCTGCTTTATGTGAGTTTTAATTTCTTATTCTGGATACACTTGAAATCTGTGGTTGTTTCTTAATGCCCGAGTATGGTAAAGTAAACTGAACTTAAATAAGCTTAAGAGAAGCATGATAAAGGTTAATGTGTTTGGAATTATTGAAAGTCATAGAATCACAATGTAAATTTTGTGGGAAACATGCAAAATGAATGGAATTCATTTGGAAAAATTTTAAAGTCTAGCTAGAGATGCCAACTACTTTCATGGACCAGAAGAGAATATTATTAATTTCTGCCTTCAAAGATGTTACAATATATTTGAAGTCATAATACACTAAACTCCCCCCCCAAAAAAGGTTAATATATATTTGTGAAATTAATCTACACTAACATTTGTTGATATCTACAAAAATTAACAAAGGAAATGTAACTTAATCAAATAATACTATTTTAATGTTTGTGGTAAATGACAAGACTGACTATTGAAGTTGCTTACTGTTCTTCCATAGTATAGGCTAGTACAGGGTTTAGACCCATGTATTTTTTCATTCTTTTGTTCATTTCATAAAAGCTTTTTAATAGATACATCTATATAAGACAAATGACATACAAGAGGATAAAAAACTGGATATTAATCAATATACTACTTTATGAAGATTAGAATTTATTTTAAATAGCTTAGCATATTTCTATAGTTTAATAATAATCAAATAGCAGCTATTAAACTTATATGAAAGAAAAAAATCATACTCCCCAAAGTATAGTATATTTACTTACAATATGAATAATTGGGGAAATATAAATTTTTATTTTCATTTTTTCTTCTAGAATGATTTTCTCATATTTATAAAATTAATTTCTGCATTGTAGAGCCTATGATCTAGGATGTTTCCCCATATTTGTCTCCTACCGATGGAACTTTATTTCCTTCATGATTAATTACTTTAAAAATGAAAGCACATTTGCAAGACTATCATTCTTCATATGCACAAATAAAAGGAGGCCTTGGATTTCCATTAATATAAGGAAGTTTTCTCTTCTCTTTGTCTTATCCCTTTTTTAGTGTAGAAAAAAATGATGATATAATGGAGTTTATCATCAGCCTGAATCAACTTACGGATGGATATTAATGATGGAAAAGTAATGTATCACAGAGTTCTTTGTGTTATATTACTTTAATGCACAAAATAAATTGCATTTTAGGTTTCAGTTTCAGTGGTGTTTGTTATGATTTCTGCAAGTAAGCATAACTTTGTTTAGCAACCTGAATTCACAGCAGAAGCCAGACATTGCTGTCAACTTAAAGCAGCCACTGAATCTTTCTATTTGCTACTAATATCCTAGCCATCCTTATGCTGATTCTTACATCTCAGCTTTCAGAAAATGAGTGATTACATTTTCACATCCTTTCTTTTTGTCTTTATAGAATGAACTGAATTACTTAATAGGTCTTATTCTGCTCTTTAAATTCCAGGTCTGAATTCTCTGCTGAACTGTCTTAAAGCCTCAAAAACAAATTCTCATTGAAGTCATAGCATACATTCCTCTTTCACCGTTTATACAAATATCACAATGCCCTATTATATAAAGTTAATTCAGAGCATTATGTTACATATTCTCTCATCCTTTAGTCAGCTTTCAACTTCAGTGATTCCTCCTCATCTTTATTATGAATTTCAGAGACATAGGCAAATGAATACAAGGGAATTAGCTAATAGAAAAACAATATTTAACTTTATATAGTTTGAATCATGAGAAATATACCATTTTGAAAAAAGAACAGATTTTGATTATGGTTTTATCCTTCCAATAGTATTATTTCAAAGATAATTAGTCCAGCTTCGTGGTATAAAGCATATAATCAAGTAATAAAGCAAAATCTGACACCAAGTAATGGAGTTCTGGAAATAAAATGGTGGTAAGATGAAATCCATAATATTTAACTGCATTACCAAATTATATGTGTCAAGCCATATTTGTATTTAGTAAGTGCTGGTTATATATCTTTGAAATTATGTGGTCAAAATATTATCTAAACGACCTGAAAGAAATAATGATAAAAATAGGTTGCTATAATAGAAAAAGGAGAAAAACAAAAGAATCATAGACCCTTAGTTGTGGATGTGAACTTAGAAATAATTTCAGCCAGGTGCATGACTTTAAAATGGGTAAAATATATCCCAAAAATAGAAATGAAATTGCGTAAGTTATAATGTGTACAAACTAGATACAAGAACTCATGTTCTTTATTATACTAGTGAACTAGTAATCCAGTATCATGCAAGAGAAAGGATCATTTAGTTTTAATTTCTCAATGCTCTTATATAAGAAAAATATATAAATGGATTAGGAATTTCATATATGAAAGCTATGTATATGTAGACTCCCAAGTAGCTGAAACTACAGGCATGTGCCACTGTGTCCAACTAATTTTTAAATTTTAAAAATATTTTTTGTAGAGACAAGGTCTTGCTATGTTGTCCATGCTGGTCATGAACTTGTGGGCTCAAGCAATCTTTCCTCCTAGGCCTCCCAAGAAAACAATATTTACGTCTATAAATTTTGAAGCAAATTTTCTGTTCTGTGTTTCATATCCTATGAATATTATTGAGATTAGGCTCAGACTTATTTTGGATATTTCCACATAAAAGTTGCACTTGCACAAATAAAATTCAAAGTAAAAAAGAAGGAAAAGTATTTAGAAATGAGAATAAAATTTGGCAGTGGCAATATTTTCTTTTGGTAGAACTAGAAGAATTAAAGAATATATAAAGTGTGTAGAAAAGAGAGATGAGTGATTGCACTTTCAATTGAAACTACTTTTTTATAATATTTACACAATTAAATGTTTCTGAGTATCACTGTGTTTTCATGGTAAAACAGCATCTTTGTGAATTAGATAATTTGGAAACATATTCATTCTTCAAAGTACTAGTGTGGAATTCTCTTCATAATGTCCACCTGGTTGGAGTATCAGCTGAAAGCGTCTTTTCATTAGTGATCTCCCACACTGTGATGTTGCATTATTCTCCATTCTGCAACTTCTGTGCACAGATTGAAGAGAAAATCTGTGCTAAATTAAAGGGAGAAAGTGAGAGCAATGTCTCATTTTCTAACTTTCTCCACAACCTCAAATTCTTGGCCTTATATATTTTTTACATAAAGAAAGTGCTGAAATATCATCTGATTTAAAAAATTAAACAAAACAAGCCAGGGCCTTATTTAAACTAGAAAAATAAACGGACTATAGCGCCGAAAAACAATAGTGAATTGTATTATCTGTGGACTAGCCATTTGTAAGGAGATTCTAGAAAGTAATTCGGATGGCAAAAGTAGAAGATATCAATTCTACACATGTTTATTGAGGAGTTATTATGTACACCTCTTTGTTCTAGGCCCCAGACTTACAGAGCAAAACAGATACGTTCTCTCTTCTCCCTCAGTTGGAGAGATCATTCCAAATAAAACTATATCATCCTCGATTTCACACCAGTGGTAAGTGTTCTGAAAGATAGATAGTGCTATAAGATTGTCTAAGAGGGAAAAGTGGATACTTTGGGGAAGTCAGAACCAGTATTGACATCTGTTAAGGTTAAGGTGAATTCACAATAAGGGGATAAAAAGAAATACAAGATAGTAAGAGGACGAGGAGGAGACAGGATTTTAGAACAAATAATGAAAAATTTTGCTAGTCTTTCTTATGAGTATAAATTATGTCTCATTTATTACTGTTAAATAAGATAGTTAAATATTTAATTTTTGTCCACCCGCAAGCTAGATACCGTGTCAAAATCCAGTTTTTCAGGTCTGGTTCGGTCACTATGTACCTAGCCAACTTGTGTTTGAGGTCAATAACAAATTGCTTTAAAGTTGTTGTCCTTGTTGATGCCTGAGCTACCACAAATAACAAATCCTATTTTAAACGTGCATTTTTAAAGGATCAAAATAAGTCAGCATTATTAGCTTTCAAGAAAGAGTAAAATATGAAAAGTTAACTGTCTTATATGGTTCTTTTAGCAAGTAATGCTTTATGTTGGATCTGTTCACTATTGACAGGTAAAAAAGGATAGTTAATCAATTTGAAGGAGGAAAAAAATCAGTTGGCCCTAGAATTTCTTTTTTCCTGCCTTATAAACTATTTGGGTAAAAGTTCACTAGCTTGAAGTTGGTGACTATCTTTGAGATGATTTCATGCTTCTCTGAAAGCTTCATCTATAAAGTCTTTTAAGACAATACAATTTTATGATTTTGCACCGAAATGCCATTGAAGGCTTCCTATCTATTCCCGAAAGAATGTCTAGAAGATAGGAATTATCTTTCCCCATCCAGAGAGACAACGTCCTTAAGTCTTTGGATAAGACAGCAGATGTAGAATCTACATGCTTTTTTGGATTTTTAGTAATTTATTTGAAGAGATGGAATAAAACAATTTTTATTTTATCCTAATGGATACTCCAAGAAAAAAATATTTGATATGATTTTTTTCAATTTTTTTAAAGACACACAAAACAAAGCTTTGCTGGATTCATATCTTGTTGGGCTTCTGTGATTTTGGACGATAATAATGTGCTTACCCTTGCTTTTACTTTTTGTTATTGTTTTACTTTTATATTTATTGATACAAAAAGTTGGCTAAGTTTAAATCAGGTCTAGACTTATTGATTGCAACTTGCCATTTAATTGTATATTCTGTTATATAGTAAAAACAGAAAAAGCATTCTGAGATGTTTGCATGAAGGGTGTCATGCACAGCAAATATAAATGATGGATGGATTATGTACTACGTTTTTAAAAGTATTAGCTAACCTACTTACTAAACCACTTAAAAATATTTTTAAAAAATCTTGGGTTCCAGAGAGACAAGAAAGAATGGAGGGTAACAAACGCTGTATTGATTATTTTTAAAAGTTAAAAAGAGTGATCTCAAATAACTTTGAAAAATGACATCAATACTTAATAAAATAATGCAACAGATATTCAAAGAGGAAATGTTAAGTCCAGAGGCAATGAAATCAAGAACAATATGAAAGATGATTTTTCAGGTGAAAATTATGATAGGTTATCAATATTCATTCCCAATAGAATTTTATAAAAAACTAACAAGTAGAAGAAAGGAAAACAGTGTGTATGTGCATACAATACTCAGTTAATAAATGAGGTCTAAAAAGATCTATGATTTTATTAAGTTTTCTCAAAGTCACATTCAAGTACAACTACTCTTATGCTAACCAGAATTTCTTGTTTATATTCTCAGCTTTAATTCTTATCTGTCCCAGTGTACTTGAAATTTTATGAGTAAAGCTAGAATTATTGAAAGAAAATACATAAAAAGAACATGTGCAGTACAATATTAAATTTCGCTATGGGTTTCTAAAAGCAAACTCCTGTCTATAATAAAGGGCTATGGAATGTAACGATATGAGTGTAAATTTTGGAGATCTGGGTTAAATTTTCTAATATTCTAGATTTATAACCATAAACAATCTGGATAATTTTTCTTAAATTATTTCTTATTTTTAAAAATGATTTCTTAGTGTCTTCATATATATACTATTGTGTTAGTCCATTTTCATACTACTATGAAGAAATATTTGCTACTGGGTAATCCATGAAGAAAAAGAGGCTTAATGGACTCTCAGTTCCACATGGCTGGGGAGGCCTCACAATCATGGCAGAAGACAAAGGAGAAGCAAAAGCACATCTTACATGGTGGCAGGCAAGAGGGCATGTGCAGGGCAACTTACCTTTATAAAACCATGAGATTTCATGAGGCTTATTCACTATCAGGAGAACAGCACAGGAAAAACCACCCCATGATTCAATTACCTCCCACTGGGTCCCTCAATGACACACAGGGGTTATGGGAACTACAATTCAAGATGAGATTTGAGTGGGGACACAGTGAAACCATATCACAAATTCTTTTCACTTTCACAAGCATTGCAATTATTTCATATGAAATATCTAAATTATAATAAACACTATAATTTGTAGTTTATTTAGTAACACAGTTTGGTTAATTGTAGACATTTTATGACCTTAAATAGTCTTATATAGTAACAAATATTAGGGAAGAACCTACTTAAGTCTAGGTACTTGGTTGAGCAATAGTTAGGCAAGGAGCTTTGGATCCTGATCTAATAGAGATATGACCTAGTTGAGTATTAAAACATAAAATTGCAGCAACAATAACATCTCAAAGCACACTAAATATGTAATTTTAAAGAGCAATAAAAGCTATACAAAGAAATAACAGATGCTGAGCTTAGCTTTCATTGATTCTGAATATCTTTGTGTGAGTACCATTTTTAAACTCATGATCCTTTATTCACTATCAACTACTTTTTTACAGGTTCTGGCTATTTGACCTTTACAAGATAATTCAGCATTATGCTAGCCCCATCTTCCACACAATCTTGCCTCCAATCATGCTGGGACACGGATGCCTTGAGGGATAGGCTAACCATGTCCCTGCTTTCTTTTTTCTTTTCTTTTTCTTTTTTTTTTTTTTTGAGATGGAGTTTTGCTTTTGTTGCCCAGGTTGGAGTGTAATGGTGTGATCTCGGCTCACCACAACCTCTGCCTCCCAGGTTCAAGCGATTCTCCTGCCTCAGCCTCCCGAGTAGCTGGGATTACAGGTGCCCACCACCACTCCTGGCTGATTTTGTATTTTTAGTAGAGATGGGGTTTCTCCATGTTGGTCAGGCTGGTCTCGAACTCCCGACCTCAGATGATCTGCCTGCCTTAGCCTCCCAAAGTACTGGGATTACAGGCGTGAGCCACCAGGCCCGGCCATCCCCACTTTCAAGTATCACTTGACACTGAAATTTTCCCTGATCTCCTTATTTAAAATAGAAACCAAGGACTCACCAACTCATCATTCTCAATTTTTATCTTATCACTTAACATAAGTTACTCTTTAATTTAATATGCCCCCTCTCACTAAACGTAAATCTGAGGAAACTGAAGAAAGTGCAAAGGTTCTAAGGCACCTATGGAATGATTGGGAGCTATAGAGGTAAGTGGGACTCAGCATATTCAAACCCCATAAACCACAAGAGGGAGTTTCCTTTTACCCTGACGGTAATGGAAGCCAGAGAAGGGTTCTCTTGGGAGAATAACATGACCATATTTGCATTTTAGTGACAATATAAAATCAATCCTCAACTATCTACCAATTACTCTCACCAACACATTGCTCTAAATTCCTTTTTAATATTCTTCCTATTTTTGAACTCTCTCTGTTTTTTGCTATACCCACAGGAATCTCAGTTTGTTTACTTATTTATTTATTTATTTATTTATTTATTTATTTTTAGACGGAGTCTCGCTCTGTTGCCCAGGCTGGAGTGCAGTGTAGTGATCTCTGCTCACTGCAACCTCTGCCTCCCGGGTTCAAGTGATTCTCCTGCCTCAGCCTCCCGAGTGGCTGGGATTACAGGCATGCATCACCACTCTCGGCTAATTATTTTGTATTTTTAGTAGAGACAGGGTTTCACCATATTGGCCAGGTTGGTCTCGAACTCCTGACCTTGTGATCCGCCCGCCTCGGCCTCTCAAAGTGCTGGGATTACAGGCGTGAGCCACCGCGCCCGGCCAGGAATCCCAGTTTAATGTAAAAAAAAACTATATGGGCAACCTTCACATCATCACTTTGGGATGAGTGGGCAGTTCATCCCACGGGGGAAAAAAAAATGCTCTTTAGCATTCTCTAGTGGAGGGCTTTTTGGAACCTCAGTACCTCCGTGAAGAGCAGGGACAGTATTGTCCAACCACTCCACTGCTGCTCCTGGATAATCACTCCTCTTGCCCTCAGTTAAAACACTCTTCTCTCCTTTGAGACTTCTACAAACTGCCACAGTGCTCCTTATCTCTATGCTCCTGTCTCTTCACGTCAAGGAGACTTCCTTGATATCTTTTTGTTAATTGAGGATATGGCACCTGTTTCATAATAAATCATCAAATCTTATTACCAATCTGTAAGGGTTCAATGTTTTTGTGGAAAGCCTCTCCAACCTCATTGTCAAAGTGAGTTGTATAGAACGTAAATTAGAACATGTCACTATTCCTTCGAATTTTTCACAGTCCCTTTTTTTCCCCTTCTAGATTAAAAATTATCATACTCTTTAGCTTATAAGAGTAATTATCAACCAAGGGTAATTTTTCATCCTAGGAGACATTTGGCAATACGTGGGGACATTTTTGATAGTCACATCTGGAAAGGTGTTACTGATATCCAGAGAGTGAGGGCCAGGATACTGTGAAACATCCTAAAATACACAGAGCGGTCTCCCACAGCAAGTCATTATCTGACCTAACATATCAGTAGTGCTAAGGAAGAGAATCCTTGACCTAAAAGTTTTCAATGATTTGGAAGCTTTTTATAAATTCAACAGAATCTTCTTACTTCCTACAGTTGAGCCATGACAGCCTCCTTTCTGGTTTTTTTATATTGCCAAACTTTTTCCTGTGTCAAAAGCCTTACTCATTGTTATTGCCTCAAACAGTTTCTCCTGTCCCATTTCTGAATGGAGAGAAATGCACTGTTGGGAGTATGCAAATAACATGAGTGGGTCGGGCCTCAGTCGTGAAGCTGGAGAGCTAAGAAGGCCGAGCAGACTTCAAGGGATTATTAGGTATGTTTAGGAGTTGAGATTTTTCCCAAAGATGAGAAGAAGCCAGTGATCAGATAGATGTAAGCAAGGGAACAGTATGTAGAAATTTCTGTTTTAATATAATAATAATGTTAGCAAGAGGAAGTATTTATAGATTAAATGTCAAGGGTCATGATTTAGGCATTTTCATACAGCTTTTATCTTATATAACCTCCCAATAGCTTCATGATAAAGTGAATATCATTCACTTTATGTAATAAAATACATTGAAGTGAATATCTCTATCTCCCAGAGTCTCACGAGCTCACAAGTAGGACAGGCAGGATTCAATTGTAAAAGTATTCTGATTCCGGATTTAGTGCTCTTACTATCTTGCTATAGAACAGAGTGGAGAAAAGTTGATACAGGCGACAAGATAGTGATTATATGTAAAGGTGAGGGCTGGGGGCAGATTAGAGGCATTGGAGATGTAATCCAGTTAGTGACTCTGGAGATAAAAAGAATTAGATGGGCTTGAGAGAGAACTGGAGCATGCAGTTAGGAATTGATAACTGGATGTGAGAATGAGGAGAAGAGGAAAATTTCATAACTTGATTTATTTTAAGCCTGGATAACAGGTTATATGAAGTTATCATTTTTTATTTCTTATTACTGTTGAAGATGGCAGTGGAGGAAATGGTGAATGGTTAATTCAAATAAAAATTTTAGTTTTGCAATTATGGAGAAGTGTAGTATCTAGGTGGATATGGTTCAGGAGAGAGGAAAGTTCCCCAAGTTAGATTAGGGAGTCATTGGTATATAATTATTACTGAATACCTGAAATTGGATGAAGGTCATCAAAGGAAATTTGTAGAGTGAGAAGAAAAGTGTTCCTAGACTATAATCCAGAGGAATCTTAGCAACTGTGAAAGTGAAACAGGAAGACAGCTCTGGAAAAAGAGTGTCAAGGAAAAAGCTACTAGAGTAGTCAAAGAAAAACTAGGCAAGTCTAATGGCATGGCTATACAGGACACAGAGATTCAAAAGGGAGAAATAGGAAAATGAGGCTGAATGTTACTTGAGCTCAAGTACAATAAGGACTGAAATGGAGTGATTTGATGATGGACGTGGTGCTTAGTTAGAATCTAGATGAAAACAGTTTCTGTAGTGTAATGAGAACAACAACGAAATTATATGAGGAACAGAAGTTTATCAAAAGATAAGTGGAAGCCACGGAGGTAGGAACACACACACGAGAGAGAGAGAGAGAGACAGAGAGAGAGAGAAAATTTGATAGCAATGGCAGGCTACGAAGAGAGTATATATTTTCCATTTCATATGGGGAAAAAAGAAGAAAGGGAGACTGTAAATGCAGACCAAGAATTTGTGCAATTAGTTACATGACCTTTAGGGTGTGTTTTTCTGTCACTATTTTTGCAGCGTGGTGAGTGTTGAAGCCATCTAATAAGATCAGTAGTCAGATGGAGAGGTCAGGCACAGGTATTTAAGAAATAGAGAAAATATATGATATAGCTAAAGATTAAGGGTGAGAGAGCAATCTAAATCCAACAGTTGGAGCTGTAGAATGGTTGACTATGCATTGGAGAAGATGCTGATGTGTAGAGTTGTCCAATTTTCTTTAGGAATGCTTAGCCCCCCCGAGTAAAGATCAAGACAAGGCAGAGATTTGTATTTCTTTGAAGATGAGAAGTCATGAAAAAGTTAGACTGAAAAAGTAATGAGACAAATTGTTGACCACACTCACAAGAAAGAGATGAATGTAAGATGGAATTGAGATTTTACTGAAGTCAGAGTAGTTAAATAAAAAAGCTTAGAAGGATAAGGGGAAGTGGTCAGATATTGACGTTTCTGAATATATTATTTCTAGATTTAAGCTAAGCCGACTGATAACTATGTCCATGTCATGAGCTGCAGCAAAGGGCACTGGAGATAATGTCAAATAAATTTAAGGTCAGGTGTAGAACGATTATCCATCACAGGTTCTTAACTTCACTCAGGGTGGACAGTGGGCCCTGTGCAGAAATCAGCCAGATGCCAGTGCTTTCTAATGTCTCCACCACCCCTACCTCTTTCCTTGCTCTGTCAATCATTTTATCTTTTTCTACCTTAGTCTTCTTTTCATATACTTTAAAAATATTAATTATATATATTTTACTGTTTTTCAACAAATAAGCAACTGTTTCTCTTTTTTAACTGAATTTACTGAGAACATACTCATATTACAAAAATTATTTAAAATGATGTAAATTTTTAGACAAATTTAACATCAATACCTTAATGCACATAAACCATCATTGGTTTGTAACAGCATATTTTTAAAATAGTATTCTTAAGCTCACTTGGCACTATTGAAGTTTCTTGATGACAGGTCATGTATGCAGAAGACTGAGAAAGAAGAATGATGTTTCAGAACATATAGAATTTATAATAAAATCCTGGTTTTATTATATTTATGATAAAAATCACTAAGTATCTACTTTTTTAATCTATAAAATGAGCATTTAATGTTTACATATTGGAGATAATATTTATTAATTGAAAATCTACATTAAAATGTCTATCCTCCTGAATAAAAAAGATGATATACCTTAAACCTCCATTATCAACACTTAATATTTATTACAGACAAAAATGAGCTAAAGGGAGATAAAGTGGTCTTTAACAAACGTGAGTACAAGGAGATTTGAAAATCAGGAGGTAAAATTGCCTTCCCTTTAAAATGAATTAAGTTAAATCAATTTATTGCCAAACCATGGATGATAATTTATTTAACCATTGCTTCCAGGATTCAAGGGATCCAGATGTTAGCTCTGATAGATTGCAGAACTCAGTTACTCGGCAGATGTCACCAAAGACTTTGATGTACTTATTGATAGGGCAGACATAAAATCAGGGAGGTCTTAGGCAACCTCATTAATGCAAACATACTATCGAACGATATTAGATGACATCCTCAAGGATAGGTTGAAAGATAGGTTTGACCTTTTCTTTTTCTCTCTTTTCAAAATATTTTTTACTCTTCTTTCTAAATTCTTCCTGCTCTTCCAATTTTTATTTGGTTATACTATTTGATAATTTCTTCTTTGAAATGACAAATCCACTTTCAGCAGAAGCTCTTTCAATTTTTCTTTGAGATGTTCTGAAAAACGTTCCTAAGACTAGCTTTTTTAAAAGTAATATCAACCACAACTTGTCTGGGTTTACATAACTTGAATATTTTATTAATACTTTTACTCTTCAAAAACTGGAAAAAGCAACTTCTTGTTTTGAATTTTCTCATAAAGCCTGGGTTCATGTGTCTTTTCCTTTTTGTTGTTTTGGTTTTTGTTTGTTTTTTGTTTACTTTCCTTTGTGTGTCACTTGCATTTTTCTCCCTGGGTCCTCGAAAGATTCTTTGCCTTGAATTTCATAGACATCACTAAGATATATCTCAGGAATAATCATGATGTAAAAATGTTGATTGCAGCACGATGTGTACCATTTTGACCTACAGTTTCACGTGTGATTTTTCAAATTCTAGAAAGAAAAAATGTTACATTCAATTTTAAATACACATTTTTTTTTGTGTTCTAACTTGGAAGTGAAGTTTTCTAATGGTATATGCTCTCATATCTGTAATCCTGTTTCTGATGTCTCTGATCTTTACCTTTTGTCCTCCATTTACTTTTTTGGTTCTTTGATTAACTCTATGGATTCTTACCGAACTGAGTTTGATTTGCAGTAATCTCTCTAGAGTTGCCATTACCACTTCCCTCTAATACAAAAAATGAACATTTATTCCAAATATACTGTTTTTGACCACCATGCTAATAGTCTTTAATACAAATTGGGAGTTTATTGGGACCATAAATATGACTTCTTACTGCAGTATTTGTCGACCATGCAATCTGTACCTCAGTCACCACGTAATTTACTACCACCTACAAATTTCTCTTTGCTTCTTTATTTATTTTAAATACATTTTACTGTGTATATTTGAGGTAAAATAAGATACATAACATATAAAAATAAGATACATACATATAGTAAAATTGTTACTACTGTGAAACAAAAACAAAGGTCAAATATTTCATTTTTTTCACTCTAAGAGTGAAGGAGTTGAGTCTCATTTCCCACTCTGCTCACTGAATCCAGCACTAGGTCTTGAATTTAATAGATGGATGATAAATGTACATTAAGTGATATTCTGTCACATAAATATTGATATCTATCTTTCATAGCAAAGCCTTCTATTTTCTCATAATTTTAGAGTATTGTCTGTCCCATAATGCTGCAAAATTACAAATGCGAACAATCATTCTTTGTGTTCTGATATAAATTCCTCAAGCCAGAGAAAATAAAATGGTCATCCCTGGCCTGTTTCATTCTGGTGAGTCAGTAGTATTTTTCCATGGTAGTGAGAAATTTGTTCTACTGAAGAGCAAATCATGTATATTAATATGATTTCCTCCTAATCTCCGCCATTCACTCTTCTATAAATTGAGAAATACAAGTAAGATTTTTAAGAAAATTTTTTGTATTTACTTTCTTTTCACTCTTTCCCCATTTCCTCTTATTACTGCTTCTTAAGAGTTTTGTAGGAAATGAAATTGATTCCCATAATTCTGTGTTTCTGGCATATACAGTTCAGTTTATCATATATCATATTAAATCTTCCTTAGTTTGAGAGTTGCTGCAGTACTTCTTCCTGTATATATATCTCGTTATTGAACCAACTATTGGGTACTATGCTCAGTAACTGTGTGACAGGATCCATCATACCCAAAATCTCAGCATCACGTAATATAGCCAAGTAACAAACCTGCACATGTACCCACTGAATCTAAAATAAAAGTTGAAATTATTAATAAATAAGAATACATGAAAAGCAGAGGGTTAGTTTTGTGATTTTATTTCTACTTCCCTATCCTTCCCAACAAATGTTGGCTCTATAAACCAGATAATTAAACAGATTAGTTATTGTTCTGTTGGTTCCAATTAAAGAAACAATTTTAATTTCAGCCAAAACAAGAAATATTGCAAGAAAATCAAGTGAGAGAGTTTATGTAATTTAAGGTTAGGTATTTTATATGAACCAAAAAACAGATTCATTGTTTCAAATGTCTCCATTTCTAATGCAGTTCCTATGTCTCCTTCAATTTTTATTTATCTTTGTCTCAGCTGGCTCACTTCCTCTGTTTTTCTATACTACAGCAAACAAATATGACTTCTTGTTGCTTCAGATTTCTACATTATAGCTTAGTTCAGCTAGAGAGGCTTTGTTATGTCTCACAACGTCATCTGCATGTTTCTCAACAGGGGCTAGCTAAGTGTCATCATATGCCTACCCCTATCCACCTAACATGTTCATTTCACCAATAACTACGCTGTTGGAACCTGAGTGACTAATATTTGTTACAGATGAATGAGGGTATAGATAAATAAATACATAGATAGTCATAATCTTAGTATAGTTATAGTTAGGCAGTTGTATAGAATTAGTTTCAAGGAAAATTTTACCAATGTTCAGAAATTTTATTGTTTCACGTCCCTAATACCCTTAGGGTACAAAAAAAGTTTTTATCTACACCACAAGGTGATTTGGAATTGCCTAATATGAATATTTACCTTGGTATTATGGAAATAAATAGCTATGGATCTGGGTGTACACACAATGCATAATATTTCAATTAAATCTTTCTTTTAAATATTTTTTTTTTTAGCTAACCATCTAAATTTTCATGGAATTTTGGTATATGTGAAAGGAATAGTTTTTGACATACCATCTCTCCTCTCGAAGGGATAAAGTATAACTCACAGAAGTACACACTTCTGTCAACTTTTTGTATATTTTATTTTTATTCTTTCAACCAGAGATAGTCTAATGCTTAAGATTTTCCGGTCTCTTCACAATATCTCTCTTGCTAAATTTCAAGAATCGATTTAAATATTAGCATATATAATTTTGTTTGCAAAAATATAATCACTTTTAAGAAGAATTTACATTTTCTCAATTTGAAAAACTACAACACAAATATACATATTATAAATGTTTAGGGTGCATAAAGCTTTGAGAATATGACCAAAAAATTGCTTACCCTGACACCACAAAAATAATAGGCAACAAACTTCACACTGTTTCAGTTCACAGATTCCTAAAGGTAATCTCTGGATCCTAGAAATCTATGTAGCCCAAATTAAGGTCTCTCACATGTATTTGATGCACATGTGGGATCTAGAATCATTTTCTAGAATAATCTAGAATCTTTTCAGAGATATCCTTCTTCCTGTCATACTGGAAGTTATGCTAGAAGTATAACAGGAAGAAGGATATCTCTGAAAAGCTAATATTATATTCTATATATTATAAAACTATATATTGTTCACTTTCTCTTGGAATGAAGATAAAATATGTACACAAAGGAAAAAATCATTTCAATATCTGGTTATTTTAGCCAGTGCCTTTTGGTGTGAAGTGGCCTTATTACACCTTTATGAAATAAAATGTATGCTGCATCAAGTCATTTATAATAAATTAGATTTAAAAAATTAGTTTTGTTGAGAAGGCAAAATGGTATGTTCAAGACATTGCTTAGAGATACCTTCTACTCTGGAGATCATAGTGATGCAGAATTGTTGGTTTGTTGTAACAGAATAGGGCTTTAAATAAATACAGATCACTCAAATACTTTTTAATCTCTTAAAGCAAAATGAACTTTTCTCATAAAATAAAAATAGATTACTTAATTCATTAATAGATAAGTAGCTTTACCGAGTAAAACAGAGTAGAAAAGAAACAAAATACACATTCAAGGTAAAATACTTCAATATTTTTATTTTCTTCTATACCATAAATTGTTTAAAAACTTGCATCGCATATGGAGTTATTTGGATATAAGTAAAGGACTCATATGTCAGTTTGGCTTATAATGTGGACAACCTCAGAGGAATTTTGAACTCTTTCAAACTACAAGAAAACTGTGTATTAGTGTAGGTAACAATTTGTGTCTAATCATATTCCTTAAGAAATGAATTCATTTTTGTTTCTGAGAAAATACATAACTTATACCTAAGAAGCATGTCATTTAATTTGAAGAATTTGGTCAAATTAAATGTTTTCAATTCACAGTATTAGCCAGTTTATTTTGGCCTTTCTATCTTGTTTGGGTATCTTGTGGAACAATTCTGTCCAGTCAATTATGCAACATTTGGTCATGCAAAGAAAAAGCCCTATAAAATAACAAGTCATGCAAGTAAAATACTGATGAGCTGCTACTTTATTGCTTTCCCCCATTGATGTTATTCTAGTAATTTCGTCCTTGTGTTTAAGATGGTTAACCTGGCACTTATTATGATAACGGCATATGCGAATAAAAGAATAAATTACCAAGTGCATGATTCCTATTGATGTAAGCATTTGTTCTCTGTCAGGAATGTTCCTGGTAACAACAGTCAAACAATGCTCTTTACCTTCCAAATTGAACACTGCACACTGCCTGACTTTAGATATAATTACTTCACATAATTGTTTCTGTCAAGAATAAATGAAGCCTTAAAAGAACAATACAATCATTGCAAGTGGAGCATCTTAAGATATATATTATACTGGGCCTTTTACTGGTGGTGTTTTCTCGGTTAATAGTAATGACTAAAGATGCTTAAATTGTTCATTTTCAGTCACTAAGAACACATCTGAGTACCTGAGCTGCTCATGGATAATTTTAAATAAACTCTTATTGCTTGATGAAAACTTATAAAAATCAGTATTAGTTTTTAGTTAATTTGTTGAGGCAAATGAAACTATTCTGAAGATTCAGGGCTAGAAAAAGAAGTGGAAACTGCATCCGTATTTTTACACACCAAACAAAGAATATTTTGCATTGATAAAAAAGTGGGATTTTTGCATCATTGGGCTTTACCTTATTATTAATGGTTTATCTTAGAATTCTTAATTCACAAAGTATGTTTGTAAATATTATATTTTCAAATTTGAATGTATTGAGCAGAAAAAATCATAAAGCAGATTATGTGTGTATATTAATATGAGATGATTATAACTGCAAAACCCAGTAATGCATGCCACTCTTCCTGCAGTGGTGAATTATAGAGCTCATCGAATTCATTGTGCTTCGTAACATTTTATAACTTACTTTAATCTAAAACAGGAAAAGAACCAAACAAATAATGTTTGTTCTCCAACATAAGGAACATCTATATCATGTATTTTATTATATATATATTGATATGCTTTGGCTGTGTCCCCATCCAAACCTCAGCTTGAATTTTATCTCCCGGAATTCCCACGTGTTGTGGGAGAGACCCAGGGTGAGGTAGCTGAATCATGGGGACCTGTGTTGTTTCCTGAGCTAGTCTCATGATAGTGATTAACTCTCATGAAATCTGATGGGTTTATCAGTAGTTTCTGCTTTTGCTTCTTCTCTCATTTTTCTCTTGCTGCCACAATGTAAGAAGTGCCCTTCTGGGAAGGGCAGTAGAGACTGCCCTGTGCTGTAGCTCAGTAACTAAGGTTTTGGCCTTTCACACTGGTGGTCTGAGTTTGATTTCCTGCTTAGGAAGTAAGTCCTTTTTGGTTTAATATCTGCATAAACTTGTCTAGATTCTTCTCCTCCATGAACTATCTTAAATTTTCCTTTCTCTGAGCACCTGGGAAGTTACCTTTGGTAAAGTTCAAAAACCAGAAATATCAGCTGTTTGGCCTGGCTAAAATTGGGTAATAAGAAATTTTAAAAGGACTTTATTAAAGAGTGTTATGGTTAAAAGTCAGCTTAATTAAAGGTGGATATTCAAGCTCTAACAGCCTGACTCCTTGGTAAAAACAGGAGGTGCCGGAAACCCCTTTCCTGGCCCCATTCTTCCAAGGACTCCAACCTAAAGCCAATAACCAATTAAGAAATTTAAAAACTGGCAAATGAGAAATCTTACAACTATTGTAGTAATCTTCTGTCTGTCTGTCTAATTATATATGTGCAGTGTTTATATAAAAGAGCCCTAATTAATTAATTGGCTTAAGAATAAGCACTTAAATAAAATATTTTGAAAGCAAAATATAAGCTGTAATGCCTTTTACTTCATGTAACTTTAGTAATATTTGGGAAATAAAAACAGCTTTAAAGATTATTGATAAAATAAAGACATTTTTGTCTAAATTATGCAGGTCAGATATTAGGTTTGCTAAATGCTTTAAGGTCATAAACTGCTTTGACTTTTGAAAATCATTCAATTTATTTTGGAGACATTAAATTCTAAATAAGGCCTGGGATATATGGAATTAGCTATGTCCCCTAGCTATGCAAAGAAGGTTATAAACAAAAGAGATTTTATATAAGAAAGGATGTTGCGTGGTAAATTCTTGTCCTAAAGTAAAATGACTGGTTGTTTAAAAAGAGGAATGTTTAGGGCAAATCAGAAAGTCTAAACATGTTGTACATGGTCTATGTAAGTATGAAACAATTTATGAAAAGAGATGTATACCAGAAATGTTGTACAGTTTAAAGGTGATTAGGCCTCCTAAATGCTTAATAAAATGCCACTATGACCCTTAACTGTACAGCTTAACTATTTTACAGCTAGGTAAGGCCTGGGACACGTGGAGTTAGATGCTGGAAAGAGTCAGACTTTATCTGCATTTCTGTCTGGGTCCTAGGCTCCACACCTAGTACATAATTAAAATCCCTTACCAAAGTTTTCACCAAAAATAAAAGTTGCTAAGGGTTAACATTGTAATATGTAATTGAGACTACTGAAAAAATAGGTTTACATGCAAGGTGTGTAAAGAGAATGAAATGTGTTTTTTATAAGAGATTATAAGAAAGCATGGGAATGTAAATTTTTGCCTAGGTTAGAGGGTTAAAGCATTGTTTTAAATTAAATTAAATGAAGTTTGAGCAAGCTGTGGAAAGTTTATAAAAATTAATTAAAAGAGATTCTGACTAGGCACGGTGGTTCATGCCTGTAATCCCAGCACTTTGGGAGGCTGAGACGGGCAGATCACGAGGTCAGGGGAATGAGACCATAGGGGATAACATAGTGAAACCCCGTCTCTACTAAAAATACAAAAAATTAGCCAGGCATGGTGGTGGGTGCCTGTGGTCCTAGCTACTTGGGAGACTGAGGCAGGAGAATGGCGTGAGTGAACTTAGGAGGTGGAGCTTGCAGTGAGCCGAGATTGCACCACTGCACTCCAGCCTGGGCAACAGAGCGAGACTCTGTCTCAAAAAAAAAAAAAAAAAAAAAAAAAGAAAAGAAAAGAAAAAAAGAAAGAGATTCCATGTGTGAACATATTGGCTAAAGTTAAAATGGTATTATTCATTTTTTCCCATATATTGGACACTGGAATAGAAGCACAACAGAGTTTTCTTAGAACGTTGTCCTGCTCTGAGAAAAAAATTGAAAAGGGTTTTAAAATGTTTATAAAAATCTTACCTTATGGCCAAACTAATTAAAACTGAATAGATTTATAAAGTGTTATTTAAAAACTAGATTTAAGATTAAAAATGGAATGGAATAATAATGGAAATATGAAATTTGGTTTTCTCTTATAAAAATGATTTTTATGTAGTATTAAAAGATAATGAAGGGTTTGTGTTTACCTTTTAAGTAAACTTACAAAAGAAAAAGGGAGGGAAGGGAAAGAAAGGAGACAGAGTCAATTTGCCTCATGCTATCCCCATTGGGTCTTGTTTGGAAAGCTGTCTTCTATCAGAATAATGTTTTTTCTTTTAGAAAATATTTTAGTTATCATTTAGGCTAAATGAATGACTTATGGTAACCTAAGGTTCTATTTTGTAATATCCAATGTTTTAACCTTTGGTATTTAAAAAACCTTTCCAAATCAAGCTCTAGATTATCATGATAAATCAACCAATACTAAACTTGTTTAAATATACAATTTGAATGAACTTCTTGGTCTAATCAAATTACCTATAATAACCCATTAGTTATCAGTGCTATTATATTATTATACTAATTTTTAATGATACTCCATTAGTTATCAGTTCATAAATTGGAAAAACAACTGTATTCAAGAGGACGTAAGTCCAATGTTAAGTATGGACTCTTGAAGTACCAGAACAGCCTTGTCCTTCTTGAGTCCTTAAAGCTTTTGTAATTAAAGGTTCTGCATTCCATGACTTGTCATGGAAAATATAAAATAATTCAAATTGAATATGTTGGTGTGGTGACTTATAAATTGCAGAAATAGTTTAAAACCAGTGTTTTGTTCCAGATTCCTGAGAAGACAATCAAAGCTTCAGGTACATTTGGCTACCTGATGGACCATTTAAAGACTGGTGAAGGGATTTCATTCAATTGTCATTTTCATTGCATATCTTCTGGTTGTATAAAAGCTTTCCTGTGCAAGAGGGCTGAGGTTGTGACAGTAGGTTATTATGCTACAGTGTATTTTCACTAGGTAAAGAAAGCTTCTTATGGTTCACTGATGAGAATCCCTTCACAATCTACAACCCAAAGATTAGATCTTCTGAGAACATCAGAGAAAAATTCTCCTTTCCATCCACGCTATAGCAAAAGTTTGTAGCCTTGAACCTTGGGTTCATATTCTCACAACTGAGAAGGGTGTCTCCACGCTCCTGGAACTGTACACCCATTGGAACCCTTAAGGTAAAACTAACCAGGAAAGTTTATCCCCAGAAGAAGATGGCATCCTTGATGTGAACAGCTTTTCCCAAGATCACAGATCAAGATTTCTACTATTATGAGACTCTTATCTTTGAATATTTTTTCCTTGTTTATGCCTCTATGAACAATAGAAATGAAAAGTGGTTCTATTATGGGCACTTATCAGGTATACTTTTATTTGTGAAAGATTTTTCAGCAAGCCTTATACATGACTAATATTATACTTTAATAAATAAAAGATGAAGGCACAATGCAGGTGAGAAACTTTGGTGTTATATATTTTGCCTCATAATCAGTCAAAACTCCTCTTAATCCACATTATGGATAAAAGAGAACATTGCCAGGAGGCCTTCATTCTATTAAAAGGACATCATTTGTTAGGTCCTTTTTCCATGGTTTACAATAAAAGAGGCAATAATTAGAACTGGAACCCTCTCAATAGGCTCTACAGCAAATTCAACTTTTAAGACTGCTGTTACACAACAGACTTTAAATTCTCTTATGAAAGTTATGCTAAATAGGCCGGGCGCGGTGGCTCACGCCTGTAATCCCAGCACTTTGGGAGGCCGAGGCGGGTGGATCATGAGGTCAGGAGATCGAGACCATCCTGGCTAACAAGGTGAAAGCCCGTCTCTACTAAAAATACAAAAAATTAGCCAGGCGCGGTGGCGGGCGCCTGTAGTCCCAGCTACTCGGGAGGCTGAGGCAGGAGAATGGCGTGAACCCGGGAAGCGGAGCTTGCAGTGAGCCGAGATTGCGCCACTGCAGTCCGCAGTCCGGCCTGGGCGACAGAGCGAGACTCTGTCTCAAAAAAAAAAAACAAAAAAACGAAAGTTATGCTAAATAACAGCATTCACTGAACAGAAAAGTACCTGTGCAGCTGCTGACACTTGTGGCCTATGGAGAAATACATCAAATGTATATTATAAAAATTCAGTTGTAGGGGATTAATGAAAAGACAACTTAATCAAGTGAGTAGACTCTTCATCTAGCTTATTCTTTAGTCTATTTAATTTTACATGGTTTGGTTTATGGGGACTCTGTGTAAGGAGCATACTCCAAACTCTTGCTATTATCTTCCCAATAGTCATAACAGTCTCCCTGGTGTGCTGTATTCTCTCAAAGGTTTAAAATGTTTGCACGTAGCCATCTTTAGAACATCAAATGATCTCTCTTCAACTGGAATGACAAAAGCTGAAAGAAATGTGCTACCATGAAGATACCATAACCTATGAATGATGTGCTGAGACTGGAAACCCAAAATGATGGTAACTGAGAGTGGCACTAAGGCCCTAAGTTTTGGTCACACTCTCACCTAAGTGAGAACTTGGCCAAAAGGGGGGATTTAAAAAAAAAAAAAAATTATGGGAAGCCATTATTTTGGACTGAGCTCATGGACTAGGGCCCAACAAACCAAACCAAACTAAAATGGAGCCACTTGTGCTAAATATAACATAATCAAACTAAGACTTTAAAAAAAACACATAGATCCTAGAACAGACTAGCTTTTGTTTTTTCCTGTAAACAAGATGTTCCAGCATAAGGAGGTATCCTCAGTCCTTCTCTCTTTGCAAAACCCACTCTTCTACTGTTTCCCAGTGAGTTTCAAAAGCATGAGTACATTTACAATGATTAAGGTTTTGGTCAATCTCTCAAAATTGAGAAAATGACAAAAAGGGGGAAATTGTTAAAACTAAATATGGCCTGAGTAGGACTCTCTAATTCTATATTTGAGTCCTTGTGGATGAACTGTAACCTAGCGTAATAGTCAGGCAAAATTGAAAACCTAACGTAATATAGTATGCACCTATAACAATGGCTGAGTGTTGGCCAGTCCCAGCGGCCATACTTCAGCCTGTCATAAATTGCTGAATGTTCAAACTGCGTTCAAATAAGGCAAACAGCAAGCTGTAGGCATTCTCTTTTTCTGTACCTCAATTCCGATTCCTGTACCTAACTTTACCATTTTTGTTTATAAATTTGTTCTGACCACGAAGCACCCCTGTTGTGATTCTGGGGGTTTCCCACTTTGCAAATTGCTCATTGCTCAATTAAACTCCTTTAAGTTATTTTAAATTGAAGTTTTTCTTGTATCACTATAAATGGAATTGCCTTTTTGACATCGTCATCTGGATAGAAGTACAAATTATAAATTATTACCTTTCCTCAAACTGTCTCTTATTTCCCAATCCTTGTCTCACCTAATTGCATCTTACTCCCCAATTCTCTTGAAGTTGCCTAAACCAGAATCCAAAAATATTTCTTCAAATGATCTCACTGGTCACACCCAAATCTAATCAGTCTTCTTCTTATTACCAAGTCAACGCTCACATGTACTTCCAAACCAATTAAATTCACTTGATGCTTATTGCACCTTCAAGACCATCATCAAGTAGGCTATGTTTAATCAGTCTCCTGGCTGGTTTGCTTCTAGGAATATTCTCCTACAATCTACCTACCCTACTTTATGCTACCAGAATCCTATTCCTGAAACACTAAATCAGCTATGCATCACTTTACAGAAAAGTGATGCTGCTTCTTAACATCCTGTGCTATGTCCTTTGAAGTCTTAGTTCTTGTCTAACTTTAGAACTTCATTTCTCCAAACCCTAATGTTATCTCTAGCCACACTGAAATATGCGCAGTTTCCAAATCACAGTCTAAACTTTTAAGCCTCTATTTTTTTTCTGCCCAGGTTATTCACCCCTCATCCTCACTTTACTTTCACCCATTAATAGCAAATAAAATGTTACCTTTTCTGACTCATCCTCATCGTGGTTAAGGTCCAACCCATGGTGTTTCCTTAACAAATTATTGTACTCTGCACTGCTAATATTTGCATAAAGGTTTTTCCACCGCTTGCCTATGTTGCCCTTAACGTTTCCATCTTGAGTTGTTTTTACTGCTCTATGAACATACTAGATGTCAAAACTATACTTTTAATAAATTAAGAAACAATGTTTTATTTTTTCCGTAAAACTAAAATACTATGATTGTATTTTCTCATGATGTTAGAGTGTTTTGTTTTCCTTTTATTACTTTATTTTTACCAATTCAGAATATTAGCCTTGGAGCCAGAACAACTGGAAGCAAACCTCAGCTTCTGCCATTGACAACATTTTTGACACATATCAAGCTATATAGCTTTTCTATGCCTCACCCTCCTTATATATAGAATATGAATAATGATAAGAAGCTTACAGGTACATTATATATTTTTTGGAACAGGGCCCAGAATTGTAAATATTCGATGTTTATTATTACTATTGTTATTATTATCTTTAGTGTTGTAGCTAATAGAGAAGATGCTAAAACTAATGCAGTTCCTGTAATTAACCTTCACCCAAACTTAAAAGAAATAGGTCTAGCTATTTGCTAAATTTTTATCCAGAAAACAAAAATATTATATCTTGATCTGGAATCATTGTCCATATTTGTGTGGTATCATCCAAAACCCTAAAATAAATAAGACTATTTTAAGAACATATTATCTGGTGCTACCAAATTCTAATCTAACTATTCTCTCTCATAAAACAAGTCATATTTCATGATGTCTTCCAATTTCTTCAGTGACAAGATGCCAGAAAACTAACCTGATGAATATACATATTGAATAAATTTAATTAAAATTTATATGTAGATTATTATGCCCTACAAAGAGGTGCAGTGAGCTCCCAGAAAAATAGTTGACACTCGTAGTCATGGTTCTTGAATTTTCAAGCCTATAAGTGAGCAAATCATTTAATTTTACATCATTTCATCAAAATGATCATAGATGATGAACATAATATTCTCCCTACTTATATCTAGAAATACATAGCTTATTGCTCAAGAAATCCTTCTGGATATAAGTGGGTGAGTTATGTACTCAGTTGATTTGAAAGGTAAATACAATTTTAGAAAGTAAAGAAAACAGGTTGCTTAACTATACACAATAGTTGGCCATTGAAATACCTGAGATATTTTACATAGCACAGAGCATAAAGGGGCCCATTGTTCAACCCTTAGGCACAATAAAATCTCCCAAAAATCTAAATCTTGAAAATATAGTTGACATATAATTTTTCATAGATTTTACTCAGAAAAAAAAACAATACTGTTTTCTTAAATTCAAAACTGGATTGGCATTATGTTTCATTTTACCCTTGGAATAAAGCCAAACGGCCATGATATAGGTGAAAATACAGAACCATAAACATTGCAGGCTGATAATCCTTGTACATGACATGTTTACAAGCATTGACTTGCATACAAATGTCCATTTCCAAATTTAATTTCAGTGATTGACATGTAGTATATAGTCAAAGGTAGCAACTCCTGTATATTTTTTCTTTCTTACCTCATAGTAAGTGGCTGCCTTCTGTGTTTAGAATTGTCATTGTGCAAATATCATCAAGATACAACTGACCCTGACTTTTAACAAATGACATCTATGTTATAAAATTTGTAGGGTTACCCAAACTACCTAGGAGATAAAGGATTAGGTGGTCTTTTAACAGTGTTGAGCTGTTAAATGTGTTAATTAGATAATATTAATGCTGATTTTGAAGCATTTCAAGAGTTAAGAGTTAGCAATCACCTTTTCATTCTAAAAACAACAGTAGTGCTACTTGGTCTTAGAATATGATTTTTTTTTAATGCCACAGGATGAGTCCCTCATAATTTAACATTTTAATCATTTCAAGGTGATTTGTTTTTACTGTGAGAAACCCTGTGTTAGCACTTTCCCCATGTTTCCTAAACATAATCGCATATTAGTTGCAATTTTCTCTGCAACATAAGACTTAATTATGCTAAAGAAAAAAGCTTCTTTTTTAATAAAATGGGTAAAATACCACGGATATCCAGTCTGAACTAATACTGAGACTGGAAACTCATTACCACTAAAAATGTCAGTTCTGATGAAGCATTAAAAAAATTCCAAGAATCAAATTCTAAATGTCTTTACTAAGCTGTTTTATGGTAGCATGTACCATTGGAAATGTGATGAGTCTTCATGTAAAAATGCTGATTTGAATTAGATTTAGAATGTGTGTCATCCTCAATTAGCCTTTCCTTCATCAAAATGATCTCACAAACACAGAGAATGAATCTTTATTTCCTCTTTGCACATGGGAGGTCATTTGTCAGATTTAATATACTTCTACCTATGTCTTCCTACATGCTTGGAGTTCAAGATGGATGACCATGGACTTCCAGAAAAAGTTTTTAGCTTAAAACTTAAATTTAATTTTAATATAATGTCAAAACTATTCATATTGAGTCAAAAAATTAGAGTAGCATTTACTAAAATAACATTGGTTTATTTCTATTTGAAGAAATAGAACAGTTTTTAGTCATTTCCCTCCTCTAAGGGCAAGTTGATATATTAGTAATTACCTAGGTAATACAGGGAAAGGAACATTATGTACTAAAACATGTATTTTCTTGAATCATGTATATATTTTTATAATTCAGATTTGAGGTGATACTAGTGGATATGATATTGCATAAAGGAAATCATTTGTTTTATGATTGTTTAAATAAAATTATCTAAGGAATTTTATAAATTAATATTCAAAAGTTAGACAATTCTAGTGACCCTATAATATAGGTATCTACTTAGAGATTATGGATCCTATAAAAAGAACAACCTACTTAGACTGGTGATATAAGATTCATATGCCAAAAGACTTCTCAGGCAACTCCCAATAAGTGGTTATGACTACTTTCTAAAGGATGTAATATCCATTTATTAAGGGGCTATTTGCAAAGCTTAGTGCTTACGATTTCTGTCCCTGAGGAATTTGGCTGTTTACGAGGACATTTGGGTTCTTGCATTTATAACTAAGAACTTGACTTCTGCTATGGAACATTTATGCCTTAGCAAACATTTAAAATTTGAAGGGAAAAGAATTACCTACTTTTTCAATGCCTTGTCAAAGACAAAGTATTCAGTATAATAGTGTCTTCAAGGTGAGAAAATAGAGAAGGGTAATAGGGAAATTTTGTTCCCCACTCTGGCAAAACAAATGGTGGCTGCAAATTTATGTTTTGCACAATAGCTGCCATTCACCATTCATACAAGTAGTTAGAAAGTCATGCAAATAACTATATGTTTATGAAACTTTCAGCTCTATAATACCAATAAAAATTACAGCAAGTTTTAGCATGTGACAACAAATACCTTGGAAAGCAGTGATGAAGTATTCAAAGGAAATAATGAAAGACACTGTTTTCTCTAAGAAGGCAACAAAAGGGCCAAAGGAACACATATATAAAGATTTCAGATTACTAAAGGAAGATGCTTAACAAATGCAAATGTAAACAACTAATAATCAACAAGCATTCTGATATGGATCAAAATTACAATGTTGATGCTAAATGCATTTTCAGATTTCAGGTGAAATAGAAAGAAAACTCTAAAGCCCCTGTTCTAATAAGGAAACAAGCCATTTAAATGATTGTAATATTTAGCTGCATGTCAAGTTTCTACTTAAAGTTAATGGAACTATAAACCCTGCGCTATTTATATTCCAGGTCACAATATTTATCCTATAATATATTATAATTTCCAGAGTAAAGACTCTTAGTAATTCTGTAATTTAAATATTAAACTAGTTTAAAGCTCTTTAAGTTTGCATATCCTAAACTGTAGTCAATTCAGATAGCCACATGCATTAACTTAATAGAAAAGCATGTGCATTTCGGCAAAATCTTTAGTAGATGATGAACATCACATTTTTGAAAAGAAAGGATATAATGCCCTGTGGTGAATGTTGCAACAGAGAATTAAAGATAAAATATGAACATAAAATATCTTGGTATTCACTGTCTCTCATATTTGAAAAAATGTATATGAGTACAGCATATAGTGAAAATAATATTTTATTAATTTGATATTAATTTAAACAGAATAATCTCATCTGAACTATATCATATAAAATAAAAAGAAAGATCTCTCTAATGATAGAAAAGAGAATTATTTACTTAATGGTAAATTATGCCATCAGATTTTTAATAAAATTTCTGACTTCTAAATTTTGAAATAAATTTAAGTAATTTTCTTTCAATATAAGTACAAGATCATAAAATATCAATTATTTCACACCTCATCATCAAGAAAAATCAATATTGACTCTGGATATTGGGAATAATTCTTAAGATAAATTTATAGATTTCATGAAGTTACTTGGCAGAAGGAACTCTTTGAAAGAAGAAGGAAACAAAATAATAAATCAAACTTGTGAATTTTGACTTTTTAAATTCATTTGATTGTTAGGGGATCAGGAACTGTCTCAATTTTGTCCAATACTGCAACCATTTTGGATAGGGTAGACAGAGAATGTCTATGTGGAGGTGGCCTTTATGCTGATACCTAAGAGCATTCAAAGGAGGAAGCCATGCAAAAATTGCTGAATGGCCTTCCAGGAACAGTGAATTCAGATGCAAAGTATCTGAGAGCAAGAAGCTTAGTACTTGAGGGACACAGAGAAGGCTAATGTGGTCAGAGAAATCCAGAGAAAGAGGATGTGGTAAGAGACATGCAGAGGTCAAATAGCAATGATGACAACAACAATGAGAATTACTCTATCAATGAACATTTACTATGTGCTAGCCACAATTTTAGTGCTTAACACGCAGTTTCTGTTGACCCTTACCTCTAAGGTAAGACATTTAGTTTTTATTCAAACAGAAATGAAGTAGTTAAAGAGTTTTAAATGGGAAAATGTTATGGTTAACTGTAATTTTAAAAGATATCTCAGATATTTTTGGCATAATAATATAGAGGGCGAGCAAAGTATAAAGACAGGAACCAAGAGGACAATAGAGAGGCTTCAACAGCAGCACTCCAGATGAGTGTGAAGCAAAGTTAGAGTTGGGGAGAAATTCCAATATCCATTCAGAGGTATAGCTGACTTTCTCTTAGATTGGATCTATCCATCACAGGAAGGATGGAAATCAGAGATGATCCCTAGTTGTTCTGTGTTAGTAACTATTTGAGTTATTTGGCTGATATGGTGAAAACAAGCACTAGAGAAGAACTAGAGGTGGGCAATGATTGGGTCTGCTTTGCACTTGTGAATATCATTAAATATCCAAATATATGTATCCAATAGATTTCTAGATATAACCCTTGAACTAATGGGAAAAGTCTGAATTGGAATGAACAATTTTTGAGATATCTGATTATCCATGTAATTTAGAACCATGAGACAACATAAGATTATTTAAAAAGAGAGTAAAAATAGAGAAGACAGCAAATGGTAAAGCCTTGGTGGCTTATCAATTGAACAGCAGCAATAGCAGCTGAGAAATCTTGGAAGGGAGACTGAAAGAAAACTACTCAGGAAATGGGGTGATAGAGAAATATAGCTAGTAAGCTTTTCCTACAAGGGAGCAGTCACCTATATCAAATTGTGAAGAGAGTTGGTAAAACAATGACAGAAAATTGAATATTTGACTTGACTAAATTAAGGATGATGCTTGAAAAAATATTGAGGCATTTTTTTGAGTAGTGAGGATGAAGCCTCTTTGGGTTTTATTGAGGATATCATGGGAAGATGGTGAGAACAGGATTAAAGTCATAGCTTATGAGAGGAAATTTACTGTAAGGCAGAAAAAAATGGAGGGAGACATGGTTCAAGTAAGTTTTCTTTGTTTTAAAGGGATCAGTTATTGTAACGTGTGCTTGCATGAAGATGGGGAAAACATCTAGTGAAACAGAGTCATGACTTTATCATAAAACTGGGGAAAATAAAATCATTCTTTGCTATGAAGACTCAATAAAATGTGTGTGTGTGTGTGTGTGTGTGTGTGTAGTACCTGGTTTATAGTAAGCAATCAAAGAGTAGCTATTAAGATGATGATAATAGTGATGATGGTGATGGCAATGGCAAAGAAGGAGGCAGAGGAATATTAAAGGAGGAAAAAAGGCAGAAATTATTATCACAAATCTTTGGAAAAACTGAAAGTACAAGTTACTGTCAGGAAACATCTTTTGTCAAAATAGAAAGGAAGGCAGATATGGCCAAAATTATCACTGACTTGTCAAATTATATGGTGTAAAGTTGAATTAATGCTTATCTACACATATCTTTTTAATGATAATGCAATTTTTAGATGTGAAGTCTATTCAATAAGGGAAAGAAATGTTTGAGATGTCAGAGGAAAAGATGTGCTGAACTAGTCGTGTTGCTGTGTGGAAAGTGGATGTACTAGCGAAACAAGGCAGGATTGTCTGGCAATGTTGACATTAAGAGTAAGGTATTTAAGGTCTATACTTCTCTTTAGTAGCATAACTGAAGGTTAAGCGTAATTGACTTAAGTAACATTAAATGCCTGCAAAAATGTTTCAAAGGATCCTCTGTGTTAGGGTTACAAAAAGAATAAACATAGTACATCAACCAAAATAAAAGACAAAAGAACATCTTGTCTCAATTAGCCAACTAATCTTAAAATTCTCTCAAGATTATTTCTCTCAAAGTGTTTGCTTTTTATTGCTAACCTACTTTCTGTAACATATCTATAGTATCATAGTACAAGTACCTATTTTATAGCCTTAATAAAGTGTATTTATTAGATGGAAGAAAAATAACTCCATTGATTGTATGTCCTTTGGGTCTCAGAAACCCAAACTTAGACAGAACTGTACTTGTGACCACTTCAATATGGGTATCATAAAAAAGGAACAAAAACAGAAAAAGTCAAGCATCACTACATAGTGATACCCTCTCCAAACTAAGCTGCAAATATGAAATGTCTGGTGTTACTGTAAGTTTCTAAAATGACTGACCTCAAAATAAATATCCTCAGAGCCTCAAAAGAAAGAGGAACTGAGGCTCAAACCATATTATACACAATTAAGAACTTGTCACTACCAGATCTCCTGTTTCAAAAAAATATATAAAGAATTACATACAGTAAGAAAGAAATTATATCTGATTGTTCTAGAAAAGGAAATAGTGTAATGTGATGTATAAGAAGTACAACTTTTTTGAAATAGATATCGTTCACTTAAATCTGCTTTGTGGTTTGGCAATATATGCAAATATAGTTAATATTGTAAATAATATGCAGAGGCATGAGCCATTGAAGATTCAGCTTTCAAAGATCATTGTTAGAATATCAGAATGTAAGACATTTATGAAATGATTTGTTAAAGATTTCCACCTTGATCAATTTACTATCATATGGTAGGGGTTGGGTGAAGTGACCATTAGAAGTAGGAAGTGAGAGACTGCATATGGCTTTCTTTTAATCTTGGGTACGAGAAATTACTAAAGCAGATAAGAACAGTCATTTATTCCTGTTTATCAACTGCCTTTTTGGACATTACAACTTCCTCGTCTGTTTGGGGTTTTTTTCTTCTGTGTTTAGGTTGTCTAATAAAGAGAAATGGCACCAGATTGGAAGACAGAAGTCAGGCTGAGGCCTTGTTCCTGCTTATGTTTTTTATAGAAAACGAGATCATAAAGGGGTAAGTGAGGAGTGGCAGGAATCTATATTCCAATTCTGAGGAACAGACTCATGGTGTCGAGAAGCAGAGATGGCAAGGACAGGATTATCAGCAATTGCATCATCATTATGCGTAGTAACCAAAGCAACTCCCTGACTCCTAATTAACTGCATTAGCACTGTATGCTTGAATGCTTTGTTCATCTAGTCCTTCCAACATTTTTATAAGTATCAGAATACCCTGTGTTAAACTTCCTTCTGCCCAAAACATTCAGAGCTGTTTCAACGCCCTCCAATGAACTCTTTGACAGAGATATTTTTTTTCATTTGCAGTATGCTTTTTTTTTTCAACTGTCTTGTTTTACCCTACAGGAGTGCTATAAATAACATGACCAATGGGAAAAAATAAGGCTCAATTTTTAAATGATAGCCCATTTAAATTCAACATAATTTGTTAAATACAAACCATGTAGAAAAAACTCTGCTAAATTCTTTACACTTGTTATCCTTAATACATGTCATGATCCTACGGTAGTTATTACTGCCATTATTATTATTATTTTAACTTTTATTTTAGGTTCAGAAGTACACTTGTAGGTTTGTTATATAGGTAAATTGTGTATCACAGGGATTTGGTTTACAGATTATTTAGTAACTCAGGTAATAAGCATAATACTTGATGAGTGTTTTTTTGGTCCTCATCCTCCTCCTACCCTCCATTCTCAAGTAGGCCCCAGGGCCTGTTGTTCCCTTCTTTTTGTCCACTTGTACTCAGTATTTAGCTCCCACTTATAAGTAAGAACACGTGGTATTTGGTTTTTAGTTCCTACCTTAGTTTGCTTAGGATAATGGCCTACGGCCCCATCCATGTTACTGCAAAGAATATTATCTCATTCCTTTTTATAGATGCATAGTATTCTGTGGTGTATTTGTACCACATTTTCTCTATCCAGTCTATTATTGATGGGCATTTAGGTTGATCCCATGTCTTTGCTGTTGTGAATAGTGCTTCAGTGAACATTCACGTGCAGGTGTCTTTATGGTAGAATGAGTTACATGCCTCTGGGTATATAACCAGTAATGAAATTGCTGGGTCAAATGGTAATTATGTTTTAAGTTTTTTGAGAAAAAATTCAAAATGAGTATTGAAAAGAAAAAAAAAATGGATATGGACATCTAACTTCCTGTTTTCCCAAGGCCCAGGAGAAAGACGACAGCTTCTGGTGGTCCATTCATTTGTTGGTTTATTGTTGAATTTCAGGCAAGGGCAGACACAGTTGGTTCCATTCTTGCCTCTCCCATATTTTAAAATCTACAGTTCTGTCTTTGTTAGAAAATAGGCAGAATCTTTCTTTATACTCTGCCCCTAACTGGAGAAGTCTGATGTAGGATTTCCTTGCTCTGTCCTTCGTTGTGTTCTTCAAAAACAAATGCTACTACTCTTCATAGACTGATTCTCAACTGGTGCTTAATTTACATGTGAGGCTGATCCATGCTTTCAGCCACATGTATCATTCCTGGATCTCAGGCATCAAATGACAATAGCTCCCCGAGCAATAATAACAATATCAAATACCCCTCCTCCCCCACCATTTCCAAATACTCCTCATTAAAAACCTTAGTATTATACTTTGGTTATTTTGGCAAGTATAAGATGAAAATTACGATAGTAAAATAAAGACATTATTGCCACTTTTTGGTAAGTAAATACTGTTTAGGGACAGCAGAGATCAAAAATTTTTTTTAAATCTATGTAACAAACATGAACATGCCATCCAACTTACAATTATTAATAATAATGCTAATAATTTTATATCCGTCAGTTTTTTCATGTATTCATCTTTCAACTGGTTCTGAACTTGGGCAGGAAAGCTTAACAATACATTTCTAGAGCAGGGTTATATTCCTCAGGATTAATATGTTTCCATTAAAAATAGACATGATGAGATTTTAAAAAGTGCTAGCTTGAGATACAGAACTGTGTTATAGTCCCTTCTCTTATAAAGTAACTGTGTGATCCTAAATAAAACTCATCTAATCTCTCTAGACCTCACTTTATTTATCTATATGTTGAGTTTACATGAACTGCATTTCATATAATTTCAAAGACATAGAAAAACAACACATTTAATTTTAAATGCCGTATATTTACTCATTTGATACATTTCCAAATAATAAAATAAATCATATAGAAATATACTATATAAATAATAAGGAAGTACTCAGCATCCAAGAACGCTAGAATATATGAATATTGGAATGATCAAATGTTTTGTATGTTTGAGACAGCATAAAAGTGATTAATTCTATTTAATATTTTAAAAAAACTTATTTAACTTGTTCCTTTAACATATTTGCTGTTTTTCAAAATCCAGATAGTGTCATAAGCCAGTATACTCTGGAAATAAGAGGAAAATAAAGAGATAGAATTTCTCTCTGACTTCAAGGGAGCTATCAGGTATCTTTAATTTACGTATACTGTTCATAATGCATCCTATTATTTGACAGTGATATATAAGTTCTAATTAATAAATGATCTTTATGAGGAAAATGTAATGAATTCAGCATGCATTTTGTTTAGCCAATCTAAATGAGAAAGCAGTTAATTATCATGCTAAAAAAGGCAAGTAAGTATAACATTTCCAATTACCAACAAGTGGAATCTGTATAAAAATCTGAAATTTTTATTTAAATAGAGTGAAAAAGGTAAATATCTAGTTTTTATAAGATAATCTTTTTTTCCCAGATGTGTTCTATGGGAAGTAAAATGTTGTAAAATTAAGACAAATGTTACTGCCTTAAGAGTTAATAGAGATGAGGTCCACTAGGAGAATTAATATTCAAATGGCTACATTGTCTCTAAGGCACTTGAATATCATGAAGAAAGAGGAGATTTTATTGATTGGGAAATGGCAGAAGGTTATGCTTATTGTATATAATAAAGATTATTGATTTTGTTAAGCAGAAAAATGGCACTTTTAAAAGCCCATTTCATATCAACTGAAACTGAATGGTACTTTCTAACAGCCTAAAAGTTTTTAAAAAATCATTTTTAATGAAGCAAAAGATATAATTTGTCAGGAACATCCCTTATAGCAACAAAAAGAGAGTTCATTGCTATAATGAAGGTTTTCTTCTAATATCTAAATTGAAATTACAATCTATTAAACTAGGTTAAAATTGTAGGCAAAGTTACTCCTGCTATAATAGAACTTCATACTAAAGTGAAATATCTTCAGCTTACTCCTAAGAAATTTGAAGGGGAAGATATTTCCTCTTGAGAAAATATGGGTATGTTCAAACTTTGATGATGACACTTGAACAGAAAACCGACATGCTTTATTTCAGTAAGCTGTAATTATTTCAATGAGCAATAAAACCTGAGGTGCTATAGGCTTAAAGAAGCTACTGCAACCTCTTATTGAATCACTATTTATTGGTGCTTCATGGTATGTTGATGTAGGTGATGGAACTTGCTGCCATTTTATACAATACCATGAAATAAAATTAAATTACCTCTTTGTAGTTCTACAAACTGTTGAATATAAAAGTGCTCAATCTGGTCTACTAGGTAAATTATTTTGCTTTTATTTATTTGTGTTTTATAATTCAGAGAAACATTGTGAAGCAAATTTTTTAGTAAACAGACTAGAATTCCAGTTTCACTTAATTTACCGGATAGGTGGATACCTCTGAGACTAAACTCAAATTCTGCCAGGGGACACGGCCAGATTATATTTTGCACTCTCACAGGTGATTAAGTATGACTATGTGGCTAAGATCTATCCAATAGATTGTGAGAAGAAGTGATGTGTACCAATTCAAGGCCTGGGTCATCAATTACTGTCCTTGTGCATTCCAGGTTGTGTTCCCTTTCTAGCTGGTTGCAGTAGGGAAAGCCAAAGTAACTGCAAAAACCAGATTCTGAAGATGCCATGATATCTGACTTCTTGAATATCCAGTTGATGACAAAGAACTGCCCTGTCCTGCTATCTTTTCCGCTCACTCTGAACTATTATTTAAATAAGAAATAAACTCCCTTATGTTTGAGCTATTATTTATATTCGACTTGTTATTTGTAAGGATAGCCAGCATTATTTTGACTAATAGAAAATTTAGTAACTTAAATAGGTTACTACTCTTAGTTGATGCAAAAGTAATTTCAGTTTCTGCCATTAAAAACAAAAATGGCAAAAACTGTAATTACTTTTGCACCAACCTAATATTTTAAAAATCCTAAATTATGGATGTTTACTTGTGTTTTGAAAGGCAGACAACAACAAAGAAGGAAACCCTATAGTAGATTGGAGAGCTGGGGGATCTGCCTTACTATTACCTAGCATTTGGTAAAACTGTTGCCAGCAACATTTTGAAAGGAAGACAAGTGTTTTCCAAGTGTGTGGTTCTAAATGAAAGAGTTGAAGGAGGCATAATACCACTATGTAGTTTTATTAACCTGTTACATTAGAAACATATTGCAAGAAAGTGATGGTTCAAAAAGGAATTGGCTGGTTTGCAAACGAAAAATGAAATGAAATAGAAAATGTTTACAAAGTTGGGAACTCCCAGGGTCCCAACAGAACCAGCAGTTTCTGGATTCCCAAGCAGTAGGGATATAAGTGTATGAAAGTTTTAGAGCAACAAATCCCATAAAAACATTTCAGTTAGAAAACAAACCGACACACACACACAGGTAACTAAGGATCTAGCTCTTGAGCAAAGGTGAGATGCTTACAAGAAAGACAGTACCTTTCCACTAACCCCTGTTATTACCCATGGTTCAAGAGAATGAGGTGCGACAAGGACAAAGAAATAAAACATTTAAAAACTAGGCCAAGTAAAAGGTTTGGATGTATTCACTGGCTCTAGGGCTGCCCTGAAGTAAATATCAAATAAATTCCAAAATTAAAAGAAATCCTATTTCCTTGATTCTGCCCTGAGAAGCTTATAAGAATAAAACAAATCTAGGATCTCCAGACTTTCCTCAGGAGAAAGCAAGTCATGTAAGATGCACAGACCGCAAGAGGAACATATACTTTGTGGCTACCCAAGATGTGGTCATCAAAGACAGTAGATGAGATAGGACCTCCCAGAGGGTAGAAATAGGAGGCAACAGAGAAAATCTGGTAAGAGTTTATTCTAGAGTTAGAATCTGGGTATAATAAAGAAATATTCTCCAGAAAATGGCAGAGGGTCTACACACCAGGATTCTATTATGGCTATGACCCAGGAACAGTTTTATGGCCCTCTTTCTTTGTTTCATGGAACATGTGTAGTTTAGTGTGTGCATACTTTTCTCTGCCTGTCTATTCCTCTGTTGTATAATGGGAAGTGAAGACAGATAACTTGTGTTCTAGTTAATAAGTCTTCAAACCATTAGGAATTTTGGAAATACTGGACTTTAAGCTCTTTGTAGTTACTGGATGCTATGGTTTGAATTTGTCTCCCAAAAATCATATTTTGGAAACAACCCTCAGTGTAACAGTATTAAGAGGTGGGGCCTTTAAGAAGTGATCAGGCCCTGAGTTTTCTGCCCCCATAAATGGATTAATGCCATTATCTTGGGAGTGGATTTCTTATAACAGACTAGTTTGGCCCTCTTTTGCGTGATTCTCTCTCTCTCTGTCTCCCTCTCTCTCTGTCATGCACTCTCTTGCCCTTCTACCTTCCGCCATGGAATGATACAGCAAGAAGGCCCTCACCAGATGACAGTCCCTTGATCTTGGACTTCCCAGTCTCCAGAAACATTAGAGATGAATTTACATTATTTATGAATTACTCAGTCTGTGGTATTCGGTTATAACAGCACAAAACAGACTAAGACATGAGGTAAATAACTTTCGATTGATTTCTTCAGAGAATATGTGAATGCCTTTCTTTGTCGGGGGACTTGGGCATAAATGGTTAGTTGGTGACTCTAAGAATGGCCTCTGACAGAGAATGTTTGTTGTTACCAAAATTTGCATTCTCCTCATCAACCTGGGTACCAGCTACCGAATAGTTCTCAGCCACACATGCAGTTTGATATGGACAGGCCAATGACATCTAACTTAAAGAACATGAAGGGAAGTGACCTGTGCCACTCTGGAACTTGTCCATAAACCCTCCCACACATACTCTTCTATAGTCTATTTTCTGTCTGGTAGCTTGATATGAGATGACTAGCATGATCTGGAAGTCACAGTTAGAGATGGGACAGCATCTCTTGCCCTGAGTTTCTGTATAATTTTGTGGGAGAATGCCTCTCTTCTGACCTCTACACCATCCCAAAATGTTACATGAGCAAGACAAAACTTCAAATATTTTTAAGCATTCAAGATTTATGGACTGGAAATTTTAAGCACTTAACATTAATCGAATACACTTGTGCCTTAGTTTCCCTTTGTTGAGAAATAGTCAAAAATATAAGGAAAAATCCCTTTTTAAAAGAATAACAATAGAACTCTGAATATAAAACCAATTTGCTGATTATTAAACTTCCGCTTTATGAAAGAAATTATAGAAAAAAAAACAGATACAAGTACTGAAATAGACCAAGAATGCGAAACATGTTTGTATTTAGATGTACCTATAACTCAAAATATGTGTGAAATGTTGAATTTTATAGGAAATCTGTACAAAAAGGTTTACATTTTGGCTTCCTTCAGAATCCAGTTTCTAGGTTTATCTATGATATAAATTGAGTAGATTTTTTTCCAAGATTTTTAAAATTAAAAGCATTTTAATTAGTTTGTTTTTCCTAATTAAATATGTAGTATAATACCTTTGCAATTTTATGAAAACTTCACCTAAAAATCAATTTTATTGCTTTCATAGAAAGTCACAAATACTATTACTTGCTAAAATGCATTTCTTCCTATCAGCCCAGTTCAAATAGATGTGTTTCATAATCATGTTACCTACACGATTCTTCTGAACTTCCATGACAATTTGTAACTTTATCACTTTATTCTATGTACTATCAATTATAGCTACTTTTGGAGACCTCTTTATTAATTATTATTATAGAAAGCTCTTTAGATATTTTTCATTCTGTTTTTCTTTTTTGTCCTATATCCTCAAGTCTTTCTGACATATTGAGATTAGAAATTTGTTTCTCAATAAAACAACATATACTAATAAACACATTTAATCCTTTGCTAGGCTTGTTTCAGTTTCTGCAGTGTCCTGGAATATGATGAGCTAAAATTTTTAGAATATCGTAGCAGTACAAATCACAAAGGATAGCGTCCACAGAAATAATGGGTGTACCACAGCTATAAGAATGACTTACCTACTCCTGACTTTTCTATCTAATGTAAAGTTTGTATTTCTGATACTGTTCATGGTTCAGATTTCCTAGATATGGCAGCCACTGGTTCCCTGTAAATCCTGTCAGTCTGAATTCTCACTTGGCCAAACATAATACATAAAATAGAAGTATACTTTAATTTACTAATGATCATGATCATTTGTAATCAACACAAAACACTATTTTACAATATTTATTCATATTAACAATGAGCAAAAATAATGTAATGCATTTCATTTTTCCTACTTTTAACAAATACATTATGATTTTAGATGCAATAAGTGCAATTCTTAAGGAATTATATAACTTTAAAAAAGGACAAGCCAAAAATATGTCTTTCCAAAAAGAAGTTCTGAAACTAAACAAAGAAACACAAGTAACTCATGTTATTTGTTAAATGATGTACTTAGAGTCAGGATAAGATGTACAAAAGGAAATTAACTTTTTTGAAGAAACAGGATTGTATAAAATTCTATATCTGAACATCTCATGCATGGTATGTATAGTGTAATATCAACATAATTTCTGCCTATAATCTAATCTAATATATACAGTGTCTATATAAATATTCATATGATAGATTATAGATAAAATATATGTGAGCTAAATATATATCTCTATATTGATATTTTTCATGTATGTGTCAGTAAAAACTATAAGCATATATTCATTAAAACACACAAAGAAATAAAATAAACGTATGCTTTTTATACTATGACATTTAACAAGAATAAGTTTTCTAAATTTTTTTTTTCTACAATCCTTTTTTGAAAACGAAGAAATAACTATGAATGGGTCTCTTTTTAAAGGAAAACTGGTAAGGGAAGTAGATAAAGGAAGGGAGGCAGGAGAGGAAACTGGGGGTTATGAAAGGGCATTCATCACTTTGGCATCAATGTTAGTAGATGAAAGCAGTTGATCCCTTTCTAGGTTGCAGGAGAAAGAACATATTGTGCAATTATGTCCTGTGCTGAATATATTGTTGGCATTCAACCAATTAATAATAACAAGAATGAAAACAACTCTGTCTGCGATAAGAATAAGGCTTCCAATATTAGTCACAGTCTGCTTAGCTTTAGGTTGGCTTAGATAAATGTAGTAAAGACAAGGAAAACATCCCACTCCACACTTTTTGGCTAATTTAATGTCTTTGCTAAGTGCTTAGGTAGTACGGTGACAGACACAAAGAAAAACGCATGGATTGATTGCACTGATAGATAAATAGAGTCTATTTCAGCACACAGAAAAACCTTTATAATTAGATGTGAATACTTGGTTTCTTGCCATCCAACACATATGCACGTTTAGGAAAGTATTTTTGTAATGAATTAGAAATGAGTAGTATTTCATAATACTCGCGATGTATTATACACATCTTGCCATAAATGGCTTGACCTATACTGACAATCATAAGATTCGGAAATGGTTCACCTCTTTAATGAGACCTTTCCACATACTTGTCTGCCAAAATTTTTGAACAACCTAGCATTTTTAAAACACTAGAGTCATCCAAATTTTACAAATGTGTTGTAAAACTTTTCTTAAGCAACTACTGAAATCCTATAAAATCTCTTTGAGAATAGAAATCCAGTGATAGGTATTTGGTCTGTAAATTGAGGAGCTATGTTCCACATACAAACGTTGTATGGCTTTATTTTAACCAAATAATACTAATAAAAAATAAGCTAATACTACAAAATATGCACTTTAAAGAATACTTTGTTCCATTAATAAAACAATATGTGTTTTAGTTTATAGTCTGACCCTAGCATTATTATACAAAGTAGTCTGTAACTTTACAAGAAAGAAAAAAAAATGCAAGGAGCAACATATGAGAGAGAGAGACAGAGACAGAGAGAAAATACAAATATACTGAGATGTTTGATTAATTCTACCCACAGTTGATCAGAACAAAAAAGACTGATCAGACACACATAGCATAGCAGAGAGTAGAGTGATGACCAGAATAAATATGTGCCAAGCTAATAGACTATAGCAAGCTTCAGATTTTATTATTATTCTGGATTAGTGAGTGAATAACATTGGAATTGTGAAATAAAAATAATTGTCTCTAATCTTATGTAAAGATTGATAACAGGATTGGCAATCCTCTTTGGATCAGGCTGTTGTTCCTTAAGTTTATCCTGCATAATTAGAGACAGCAAACAGTACTCTTACCAGGGAAGGTTGTGTTTGTTCCTTAAATGTTCTCACCCAAAGTTCTGAAGTTAATGAAGCTAAATGCCAATGACTATGACATTGAAATATGAAAAACAGATAAAGCATGTTAACTCTGAGAAAATATACTGACATAAATAAAACAATTTACTTTCTATGTTTCCCTCTAAGCCTCTAATACTATCAAGACAATGAGGTAGGATTCTTGAAGCCTTACTTTAAAATGTTGATTTCTTGGAATAAATAAGGGCAATTTGGTTACTTTTATTCAACAATTTCACAAGGATTTGAAGAACTATTTAAAACGTTATTTTTAAAAGACATTTACTTATAAATATCTCTCATTTTTAGAAAATAATCACTAAAACGACAATAAAAATAACGAACAAGGTGTGTAAAATTTTAAATCTGATTTGCTGCATATCCTTAACTCCTTGCCTCAGGTAAACCTGTCTTTGACAATAAAAATGAATAAAATACATTTGGACAATTAGAAAATAATGAAAAGCATTCAAGAATGACATTTGACAAAGTCATATAAGGGAATATTGTACTTAAAAAAATGAGCATTTATAGATCAGCTGCCCCTGATGTAATACATCACATATTATTAAGAAAATTGTGCACCAGTATATTGAATCACTTGAAATTAGTTGGGGGAAAAGGAAAATGGGCTATACTTAATTAATGATGACAACGAAAGATGTTTGATTCTATGGATAATATTTATAAACTATAAATGAGATAAAACATAACAAACCAAGAAAATAACTATATGTATGATGCATATATAAATGTAGCAAAAATCATTTGTAGGAAAACTATTATTGAAAGCAAAACAAAGACTACTATTGAACAATAAAGATAATAAAAGGAAAAAAAATTGTACAACATAAAATGAGCCAGGAAGAAAATATGAAAATGTTGTGTCATGGAGTTGTAAAGGATACTAGATATGTTATAGTGATGAATTTTGGAATCACATATTGCTGAGTTTTGAATCCAAACTTGTTATTTACTAGCAGTAGGACTTTGGGAAAGCTGCTTAACTTCGAGTTTCTTTCCTCTCCTGAAAACTACACCAATAACTGTATCAAGGATGAATATTACAAAGTTGTAAGAAGGCCTAGCTCAGGTATATATTATCAAGGAAAAATTGATGTATAGAATCATTTGGATCCTAAAGCTAGTTAGACTAATTCACATTTCATATTCACCTTTTTCCCAAGTTCCACATATCTGCCTAGAATAAATAACGCACACTTATTATGAAGGAGATATAGAAGATAGCCCGATAACTATTTCATTATAGTTAATTAACAATAAATATGATAATCATTTAAGTGTCCTTTAGAATTTTACCAAGTAAATAAGAAAAATTTAAAAACTGAAGAGAAGAACATACTTTACATAAAATGTAATTTTAAAAATCTCTAAAATATTTGTAATACGTATGTCTTATGTCTATACCTTAAAGGTCTTTTCTTACAATGAAGTTAGGATTTATTTCTAATTATCTTTTTTAATGTTAAAAAAACCTTCCAACTCAATGGATAACTTAATCTTTCTTTAACCTTTTCTGTGCACTAAAATTGTTCTTTATCAAATGATTATTTTGCATTCTTTGCAATATACACCTTCTGGTTTCAAAATTTTGTTTACATGCTTTAGGATATTTCATAAGAATATTTTTTTAATCCTGTTTGTATTGAAAATTGATAGAGGAATGAAAAAGGCGAGGATGTGTTACATCTACTTTGTTTTGTTCCTATTAACATATTGCATTAATAAAGCCTTCCTTCAGATAAACAGAAACTTCTCAAGTAGAATAGTATAAATGTTGTACAAATGTATAATTGATTTTGTGACTCATACAGGGGACTTTGTTGTAGAGATAATTTATGAACATTGATGAAAGTGGTAAAGGAGTATTTCTTTGGAATTTGGAAAGTATTCTCTCGGAAATGCTGAATTTATAAATGTTCAATGTTACAATGATCAAATATTTTTTCATAAAATATCTTCCTTGAAGCCTTCCTCATATTTAAATTTTTTAGCTCAGTTGAATTCTTCAAGTCTATCTCAATATTTGCAATTTTTTATTAAAAATAAACTATGACTAGAGGACATTGTTATAGATATAATAAACAGAGAAAACATTATTAATAAGCAGTTAAACTTTCCTATTAGTCTTCCAAACTCTCTTGTCCATTCTGGTTCAAGGTTAAACATCCTTTAAAAAATAATACTTAATAAGAGGAAAATGAAATAAGTAATGCTAAATTTTCTTTTAAGGTCACATTCTTTATTACAATAATATATTAATCAAATTTATTCTGGTTTATTACCCTATTTTGTTGCTACATATAGTTTCACTCTGTCTATAATAACAATATTGGGAAAATAATAACCTTCAAGGCATTAGATGAAGTCTCTGGTGATGTCACATTCACTCTGACATTTATACTGACTTCATTTATGACAGACGGAAGGTGATGAACGGGTCCAAGCAAGAGGTCACCTTGTGTCAAGACTGGTATATAATCTGTCAAATGCAGTGACTGTGAGTCGGCTAATGAGGAATTAACTAGACAGAATGTTGCTATTTGACTGTTTTCATGCACTCCAAACCTGTTAAACAATGCTAATCAGGTGTTTATTAAGTGAAACCATTATGCCAAACTTGCTGCAAACCTCACCATATGTCAGAGAGGTTGTAACATATTATTCATTCTTTTTAAAGCTAGATTAATAAGAGATATTCGCTGAGCTTTTCTTTTCTTACTCTTCAGCTATGCCTTGGAATCAAGGTTACTGTTAACAGTTTAAATGTATATCATTTTTTTCTTTCTTTTTTTTTTTTTTTTTTTTTTTTTGAGACGGAGTCTTGCTCTGTCGCCCAGGCTGGAGTGCAGTGGCGCGATCTCGGCTCACTGCAAGCTCCGCCTCCCGGGTTCACGCCATTCTCCTGCCTCAGCCTCCCGCGTAGCTGGGACTACAGGCGCCCGCCACCACGCCCGGCTAATTTTTTGTGTTTTTTAGTAGAGACGGGGTTTCACTGTGTTAGCCAGGATGGTCTCCATCTCCTGACCTCGTGATCCGCCCGCCTCGGCCTCCCAAAGTGCTGCGATTACAGGCGTGAGCCACCGCGCCCGGCCCATTTTTTTCTTTAAATGAACATAGGTAATTCCACAAAACTATTTTAAGTATGATAGTACCTCTTGGTGAACTAACACTTCATTTACTTTTATATGGAAAATCTACTTTTTAAATAAGAGGACCAGAGAAAAAAATACATTTCAGTTTGGGCAAAAGTGATAAAACCAATACTATTTCTGATAATTGAATAACTTTACTGTAGAGAATTATACTTTCTAGACTAGAAGTGGGCACACTCCTTTTTAGTATCTTTACTTTACAACTCAGATAGGAACAAGCAGGCAGTTACAAATAATTCCTGAATTGGGTATAACTATACTTGAAGTTATATAAGCACCTCTCCTAATCTACTAGTCCATCATATGACACCGCCTTTACATAAAAGAACATTAATTAAGAGCTTCCCTGGAAATGGATACAAAATATATATAAACAGTTCCTACCTAACTCGATACCATCCTTCTTTTTTTTTCCAAGATCAATGTCAATATTTCTTATTCCATATAAACCTTCCTAGATCTTAGAGCAGTTATTTCTGTACTTTCTGTTTTTACAGTGTTATATTTTCATTCTATGGATGAAAATTAAGGCAGAAGACCCAAGTTTATCTGTAGAAGCATAAACCAATGAGCCACATGATCTTGAACAAATCACATAATCTAATTGTCAGTTATATAATTTGAATAAGAAATATTTTTCCTGCATGATTTTTGGAAAAAAACGAATTGAATTAATATAAAAGGTAGAATTTAACTTAAAAGGATTTTATTTATTTGTTGAAATGGAGTCTTGATCTGTTGCCCAAGCGGGAGTGCAGAGGTAAGATCTCTGCTCACTGCAACTTCCACCTCCCGAGTTCATGCGATTCTCCTGTCTCAGCCTCCTGAGTAGCTGGGATTACAGGCACCCCCCACCATACCCAGCTAATGGGTGTGTGTGTGTGTGTGTGTGTGTGTGTGTGTGTGTGTGTGTGTTTGGTAAAGACCGGGTTTCACCATGTTGTCCAGGCTGGTCTCAAACTCCTAACCTCAGGTGATCCACCTGCCACAGCCTCCCAAATTGCTGGGATTACAGGTGTGACCCCCGTGCCTGGCCTTTAAGAATTTTTTTTAATTAAAGCTAAAATAAAAGATTGCATTAGTATTTAAGGTAATTATTTTAAGCTTATTCTAAAGCATCTTATAATACCTTATGTGTCAACAGTATCATTTTTACTACTAACATCATCATCTACATCTTTAACAACTTTGAAAAGACATCTCTCCATCAAAAAACACCTGAACTAATAATTCATTATTTACAGAAGGCAGTAAATATAACTTTGTCAATTGTCTAAATATGTGGGAGATTTAGGGTCCAGTTTAGTGCCTAAGCTTCATTTTCTTAGGCTGCCAAAATTTCCTGAAGAGTTGTCACTCATAGGTGGGAATTGAACAATGAGAACATTTGGACACAGGAAGGGGAACATCACACACCGGGGCCTGTTGTGGGGTGGGGGGGAAAGGGCGGATAGCATTAGGAGATATACCCAATGTAAATGATGAGTTAATGGGTGCAGCACACCAACATGGCACATGTATACATATGTAACAAAACTGCACGTTGTGCACATGTACCCTAGAACTTAAAGTATATAAAAAAAGAAAATTTATATTTTTTTGGAAATTTGCAAAGATTTTCTCAGCTTCAATATTGGAATTAGATTTCTTTTTTTGTGGGTTGCCATAACACTGTATTTCTTTTATCAGAGCACTTTCAACATTTCACTAAATACAAGTTCTTTGAGAGTAGGAACTATGATTACATGCAGATGAGACTTAAAGCAACAGCTGGCACATGTTCATCTATTTTTTGTTTATAATTTGCTGACTAAAAGTGTAGATGAATGCCCAGTTTTATAGCTGTTGGAAGAAACACTCATTAAACAATATTTAGACTGAATAAACCAAGATAAGAACATAGACAATGATTTTCCTTTGGTTTATCTATTACTTATCATACTGCCGCCTAAATTGGGAATAACAAACTAATTGCAATTTTATGGAAACTTTACTGAAGAATTAATTTTATTGCTTTCATAGAAAGTTACAAACATTATTACTTGATAAAATGCATTTTTTCCCATCAGCCCAGTTCAAATAGGTGAATTTCATGGTCACTATAAGTGATTTATGCTATCCTGAACTTCCATAACAATTTGTAATTTTTATCACTTTATACTTTCTACCACATATTACAGCTACTTTTATAGATCCCTTTATTAATACCACAGCAAGCTCTTTGAGCCTGTCATTCTTTGTTTATCCTTTTGTCCTATGTCTTCAATTCTTTATGACTCATTGAAATTAGCATTTTTTGCTTGATAGAATAATATCTATTAATGAACACAATTATTTATTTATTACATATTTTTTAGGTCCTGCACTGTACTGGAATTTGACTTGAGACTGACTATAGTAGTCAGAGGTATTCCCTTCTCATGTTTTTACCCTCTTTAATAATTTGGACATTGGAACAAATCATAGCTTATGTATATAATTGTAGACATGAAAGAACAACCTCAAATATATTTGAATTTTAGAGTGGATATTTTCAGAGAAAGGCAAATGAAATATTGAAGCTTATCTAGTCTTGCCTCCAAATTGTATTCTAATTATTCATTCAATAAAAACTGCTACAATTGGATGTCCGTTTTCTAACTGCATGCTGCTAGTACCGATACACTCATTCTTTGGCAAACTGTGTATATTTAATTTTTAGTATTTTATTTTGAACTTAAATACACTGCAATAAGTTTTATCTGTAAGTACCTCTTCTGCCCTACCAATTGTTGTTCATGATAGCACACCAACAATTGATCACAGCCAGCACTGCCAAGGTATTTTATCAAACACTTAGCTTTTCCAGTCACTCCACACATTACACATTTTTAAACCATTGCGGCATCATTATACCACATATCCTAAGCAACAGTCCTATTTCTTTCCTGTTGTCTATCTTGATGTATTTAAAAATGTAGTTACTGTTGACTTTAGAATCATAATATTTCTGCTACTATATTGACCTGTTATAATCTTATGAGCTTTATGGTGTTCTCTTGAATTCATGAAAATTTTATGCTCCCCCTTCCGTCTTTAGAATACCTCATTTCAAGATATAATTTTATTTAATAAGCCTCCATGAAGTGTCAGCTTCTTTGCCTTAAAAATCTCATTTATTGGGTAGGGCCTCCTGGTTCACGCCTGTAATCCCAGCTCTTTGGGAGGCCAAGGCAAGTGGATCATGAGGTCAGGTGATCGAGACCAACCTGGCCACCACGGTGAAACCCTGTCTCTACTAAAAATACAAAAATTAGCCAGACGTGGTGGCATGCACCTGTAATCCCAGCTACTCGGGAGGCTAAGGCAGGAGAATCGCTTGAACCCTGGAGGCAGAGGTCCACTGCATTCCAGCCTGGGTGTCAGGGAGAGACTCCGTTTAAAAAAAAAAATCTCATTTATTGCTGTGTTTAAGCCTTCTAAGAAGATAATGTTTTCTTTTTTTAGCACTATATGAGGTAGTTGGTTAGAAGGCAGGTTATACCCAAACAAACAAATCAACAACTAAAATGCTAACAAAAAATATTAAAACCTAAAAATAAACTCAACAATATTGGCTCTCAGTATGATTTCCCTCAGCAACAGTCACGTGGAATGTTAAACTCTCTAAGAGGGGAGAGGAAAGAACCTCTCTTGCTTTATCTTTGTGGTAAGACATTTGCTCATGAAAGTTGTTTTTCCTTGGGTGTTCTGTTTTGCTTTGTTAATGTGACTTTTGCTGAATAGATTTAGCTAAAATTCCTGGGACAAACGTACCTACAAGAGAAAATAATTGTATCATTGTCCCCCATTTTATAAATTGGATAAAATGCAGAAAACTAAATCTCATGTGGCTAAAATTGCAGTAATGAAGCAAATGAAGCAACTACAACCAGTGTGCGGACTTCTTGTGAGCAAGAGGTCTGACTCATTCACCTTTGTGAATGAACATACACCTACATAAATGATTTCAGTGAATGAAGAGATACATGAATTTGGGAAAACAATAAATTAGGGGAGTGATAGTTCAGGTTTGAAAATTAAGTGAACACCTGAGTGGAAAAATAATAGTTCCCATTTATTAATGGTCTTCAACTTGCCAGGCTATTTTCATACACATCATGTAAGCCATTTAAAAAAATAAATCTAGGGAATTAGTACATTAGTTTGTCTACTTTTCTGACAAGGAAAACTTTGGTTCAGGAAATTCAAATAGACAAATTTATTGAGATAAATTTAAAGCCAATAGTCTCTGATTCTAAAATCTGATCATTTTATCTGTGTTCCAATATCTTACTCTTATGAAAAATCAGGAAATAGTATATTTTGGAATTCGTATAACAATAGGCCACTGCAAATGAATGTTTTAAAGTAATCTAACTGGTGATATTCTAACATTTACAAATTACATACGTGCATGAGGAAAGCCTATAATAATCACTATATATGGCCACTAAGATTGTAGTTATGTTACCATTTCCAAGTATTTTCCCTGCATTCATATTCATGAGTAATCTCTAGTCAAACATGATGCTATATGTCTGTAATAAATATTAAACATGCTTTGAAGAAAATAGGTTCTTCCATTCTGATGTGGTGGTGCTGAGCTCCAGTACATCAACTTCCAGCAACACCTGTTAGGCCACAGGAATATCATAATTTTAAATATCTAATTTACTTGGTCTAATATCTATATTTTTGTCTTGGATTCCAGCCATTATAAAATGTAAGCATCCTCACACACATCTTTCTTTTCTAATTTCTTATTATGTCCTTTAATAATAATACCCATTGCCTTCCATTCTATTTGTTATGTTTAACCTGGATTTTGTTTCTCTATTTGATTCTAATCTCACTATGAAGACCTCATGGCTTTGTCAGCAAGACCCATGTTCTCTTTGTCCTGCTTCTCTGGGTATGTCATACATGTATGTGCTCATATATATATATACACAGACATATGCAAAAAGATATCACAAGAAGATGAGTATTTAAATACCTCCTAGGTTTTCCTATATACTATTTCCTCCAAAGATAGTATCTTTACCATGAAAAAATTTTGAAACATGACATCTGAGCTGAAAATTTTCAATTACTACTCAAAACTTTAGTCACTGGTGATTAACTCTAAGTTTCTTAAAGTATATGAAGAAGTCAAGCAACTTCATACTGATGCACTTACTTTTTGTAATATTGCTATAAGTTTTTGTTCTATATAAGAATTGGAATACATTCTATTTTGGGTGATTCTCATTTTAAAAATTGAAATGGACACTAATTAGATTAGCACAATATCTTATTTTCACCAATTTCAAAAAACATATGACTATTTGATTATAGGACCCATAGTACTGTTAGTAACTCAGGCAATTGAAAGTTAATGATTAATTAAGCTTTATAACTTTACAGCAAATCGGCCTTAAGATATGTTAAAGCTTTCTCCTTTTATTAACATTGTGGCATTATGATATAGTGGAAAATATATAGGATTTGGAGTCAGATATACTTTTTTACAAATTGCAATACTCATAGTCACAAATTGTGTGAAGTTATGACTCTCAAATCCTGTTACTTTAATAAAATCTTTTTGAAAGTTAAATAAAATAATATATCTAAATCTTGTAACTCATAGTGTTTATCAAATTATATTATTTTCTTTCCTCTTCATTTCTTGCCAACTCAACAGAATTTTTTTTATTAATGAAATGATAAACATTTATTTAAAAAAAGTTCAAAGAAATGTGGACTTTCACATTATGGAGCATTATATCTCAGTATTGGAGTCATTGGATTACTTCCTATTCCCCTGTCTTCGTAAGTCAAGTGAAGTTAAATCACTGATGACTAATTAACATGACTGTTTCAATCTATTCACGTGTTCTTTCTTTGTTTTCCCAAATATTTCATAGAGGTAAATATGTTCCTTATACCATAGGCCTGTTTGTATTGGTTTTGCTTCTGTTTCAATGTGAATATAGACAAAGCATTTTCTTTGAAGTTAGTGGAAACTCAGTGATCATACAGATCCTCTGAGTGTTGAACGAGGAAAGAGGCTTTTGATTGTTAAAAGGAAAAAATTGATAGAAATGTAAGCAACCCAAACCGAAATATATTAGAGCTTTATAACCAGGAGCTAAAATATGAAAAATATTTATCTTTAAACATATTAATCAGCCCCAGAATATGGTAGAGGAGATAAACTATCTATATATACTCTTCATTCCAATGCGAAACTTACATTTTTTTCCTTAATTGTTATTTTAGTGTGATGTCAAGTTTCCTTTTTTGTTTCAAATGTATAGACATTATGTTGAGTATTTTTTTGGAAATCAAAATGTAGTCACTTGCTTGTCATCTAACATATCTTTCAGAGGGATTATAATTGATATTAAACCATAATAATCTTAATGTTTCCAAAATCAATTTTTGAAACAGAAACATGATATTGTTTAGATTTTGATAAAGTTGAGTATTTAATGATTTAAACATTTCAGTTTCAAATTGAGTATCAATTTTTTAAACTACACTTGGAAATTTTAACACAGTTATATTCATTTAAGCTTGTCCACCCTGAAATGGAAAAATATTCATAGCAGTTTATTTTAGCTGTCAATATTCACAAATTATTACTTAAAATTTTAATTGTACATTCATCATGTAAAGCAGAGATCGAGACACAACAAGATGAATATTAGCTGTTAGATTGTACAGTCAAGAATAGCTTTAAGACATTTTTATGGTTATAATTCATTTAATTTTATGTTTATATCAACATAATTAAGAAATTAGTGAGGCCTATGTTAATACGGAAAAAAAAGAACATCAATGTAAAATCTTGCATTTTCTAATGAAAATGTATTTGCTTGAATAGGTTTAATTTGCAATTTTCTGAAAAGTTCCTAGTAATGTAGTTATCAATGCAAGTAATAAATGTTTAAAAATTGGATGAAAGCCAAATCCATCACTTTCTCCAAAAAATAACTTCCCATAGTCCATCCCAGATGACAGTGCCTTGAATATCTTTAACTTCTCCATCAGAACCACTTAGCATTACTATGCTTCTGCGCAGCTTGAACATCACTACCTTTGTCAGAACCAGGCAAACAAATTTATGATGATGTTCCTGGGAATATGAAGCTAATGCAAAGGAGATTTCTCTGTAGCTCTTCATTAACATTTTATTCATTACAACAAGGGAGTTTTAAGAGTTTCCTTTTAAGCAAATTAGGTCACTGGATAAAAACACATACGCACACACACAGCATGGAAACACAGTGTATTACTACATAGAACAAAAGATCTGGTTAATAAATTATGATAATGGGATTAGTTGTCTGCTAATGTTAAAAGGCACATTTAAATATTTTGGACTTTACTTATAGAGAATAATTTTTTAATGTATTTATATTTTCCTTCTCTATATTTTCATGATTTCTTTCCTCTGAGTGTATGTAGATCTTTTTACATACTTTGAATTATTTAGAAGTATAAGAAGTATGTTACATGTTTTAATCCTTAGTTAAGAATAAGCAAGATAAAGCAATGCAATTAAGTCAAGAGACAGAATCTAGGAGGCTATCCCCTTCAAGAGAATTATTTGTCTTTTTCACAGTAATACTTAAAAATCTGTTAAGGATAATTTCTCCTCAAAAACAAGCATGCCAGTTCTTTGTATATTTTCCTTGATCCAGAAATAGTTTTACTTTTCCATTATTTCCAAAAGTGTTTTGAACCATTGAAAATCTTAGGTCAAGGTGCTGACATTATTTTTTTTTCCAAATGGCCTTTTATGTTTATATATGTTCTGCTCGCTCCAAAGTTGTTGCAATACTCATTAAACCAGTAGTTTAAGAGGCTTGAGATAAAATAAAAGAGGAGGAGGATGCTAATTCACATAAAGCACTGCCTTAGGTTGCGTTCCCAGAAGCAGATCCTGAGAAAAGAATTCTGGAGTATGTGACTTATGGAGAGTGGCTTCTATAAGAAAGGAAGTGAAGGAAGCAGGATAAAGCAGGTGAGGGAGCTGAGCAATGGCAGGGTCTCAGCTTGATCACTAAAAAGCTCTGCAACATGAGTTGCATCTCATAGGTAGCCTAACCTTGAGGCAAGGAGACTCTGCATTTTGCATCCCTTTGCCCATCAGTTATTGCATTCAGGCTCAGAGGAGTCGAGATGGTAGATGATGTCCGTGCTCCCACCAAGGGCTGTTCTTGTTCAGCCTGAAGAGAAATTTGCAGACAGGACCAGAAGAAGGCTGCCATTAACAACCAACACTCACAGCAACTTGGGGGTTAGTACACTGGCCATCTGGTACACAGAGGGTATGGACAGTACATCAGCAGTCCCATCACATCCACCACTGAAATGTTAGTTCAAAATACCTGGTAATATTATATTTCCATTATGCTTTATAATTTACAAAATATTTTATGTTCATTATGTTATTAGATCCTGATAACACTGTGAATGACATATATTATTGCCACATTTGATATATGAATATGCTATAATTCAGACAAATGAAGTCACTTGCCTCAGTTTACAGGACATTAAATTTGAGCTAGGACACAATCATATGTCAACATTAGTAACGTATTTTATATTTGGCACAGTGATAATTTTCATGATATTAAGGATGAAAAATTGAGGCATGATGAATTTAAAGAGTGCTGCAGAGCTTACAAGTACAACTAAGACATGCATCCAGTTATTATTAAAACATGATGCTGTTTCAGTAACAAGTAGCATTTGTAATTATTATGTATTTTATACTTGCACAAAATATTAGGAATCACGCATTTTAAAATGTTTTAAATATATTCATTAAATATATTTTATTAGTAAAATATCTACTATCAGTTATTTTGTTAGTAAAATATCTACTATTATATAAAAAAAATACTAGCTATGCAAATATAAAGATGTGTGTAGTACAGAGAGCACAGTAATAGTCATGACCAAGCCTGGCAGAGGGAAGACAATTTAGGAGAGCCTCTTTTGCAGAAGTGATGCCAGAAAATTAGCATCGGCTGAGCAAAATGTTCGAAAGTGAAATTAGAGTAGTCATTTCTAGTGCCTTATATTATGTCCCAAACAAGAAGGTCTTTAATATATATTTTTGAATGAATGACTAAATAAATTAATAAATGCATTTTAGACAAGCAGCAACACAACCAAAACTCAGATGACAAATAACATGAAATACGTAAAGTGAAGGAATAAAAGTGAAGCAGGACATTGAGATGAGAATGAAAAGGTGGCACGGATTAAATCTTGGTGGGATTTTGGAGACTATTAAGGAGTTTTTCTGTATTTCATGGCAATAGAGAGATGGTGAAGTGTCTTAAGAGAGGGAATATCATTTTAGGGTTTTGCTTTATATAGGTTAGTCTAGTGGCTTTCTGGAGATTAGCAGATGGGCAGTGAGAGAAAATGAGGGAAGTGCTACCATAATCCTGGTACTGAAGGTCTGAATGAGGACAGTGGGTTTTGAGTTAGAAACACATGTACATAATTGATAAATATTTGGAATCCGAATGACAAATAAATTTTAATTCAAACACAAATTGCCATTGATGAGGCCATAATGTTGATTAGTGACATGAGTCTTCAGTAAGATGGCATCTATACATCTGTGGACCTTAATCTAGAGGTTACATCTATGTGCTTCAGTAATTAATAAGATGGGAGAATCACAGAGTGGGCTGTGTCAAGGATGATGAGTTAGGTTTATGAGTTGCATACCTAGACACATAGTAGTCCACCATTATTTTTCAAATTCATTTATTTTTTGCACTGACGTATAAAATTGTATGTGTGCAAGATAATATTTTGAAGTATACATACATTGTGGAATGGTTAAGTATAGCTAATTAACACATGTATAACTTCACATAGTAATTTTTTGTCATGAAAACAATATCACCCAGTATTTTTGAGAATAAAATATATCATACAATAGACCTCTTAAACGTATTCTTCCTAATTGTAATTGTATATCTTTTTACCAACATCTCCACAGCTCCTGCTACCCCTGATCACCCCAGCCTCTAGTATCCAGCATTCTACCCTCTACTTATTAGATTAACTTTTTTATATTCAACATATGAACAAGATAATGCAAAATTGTGTGTGTGTGTGTGTGTGTGTGTGTGTGTGTCTGTGTGTGTGTGTGTGTGTTCCACCACTTGAATAGAACATATATGTAGCCTGGCAAACATGGTTAACCCCCATCTCTACTAAAAATACAAAATTTAGCTGGGCGTCGTGGCACACTCCTGTAAACCCAGCTACTCAGGAGGCTGAGGCAGGAGAATTGCTTGAATCTGGGAGGCGGAAGTTGCAATGAGCCAAGATCACACCACTGCACTCCAGACCGGGTGACAGAGCGAGATTCCATCTTATATGTATGTATACACACACACACACAATGAAAGGTTACCCTTAGGGCAATAATAGGGTAATGATTCCAGATATGGAAGTTGTAGACATTAAATATCTGTGAGAAATATTTGTGAAAGTATATTATGGAAAAAATGGAATATGCATGTAAACTTAGGCTATGTTGAGTAAAATAAAACTAATGTTTTAAATATGAAGAAATGAACAGTTGCTCAATGCTTGTTTCTCTACACATGTGCAGGAAGTATATAATTCAGTGCTGTACACATATCACATTGGAGCATTAATCACAGCCGTGTCCCACTTTACCCAAACATGGCCACATAGTCTCTTAATCCAAGCATTTGGGAAACTACTAGCAATCATTTAGAGTGGAAACATAATTTGACACCGGTTTAGCATTCCATTTGTTTGCTACATCCCTCTTTATGACAAGAAAGGGAAAAATCATGTAATACTATAATTTGAGGAAATGTAATAATGCATTCAGGGAGACAGAAGCAGGAAAATTTTGCCTGTGTAGAATATTGTCACACATACATGTATGTGTATGTGTATGTATATATCAGAAAACATATTTCAAAAATAAAAAAGCTATGCTTAGTATACCCCATTGCAAAATCACTTCATAATGAAAGCACAGACCATGTACAACAAATAAGTGTGACAGAAATGAGTTTGGCAACTACCCAGAGTAACAATTCCATTGGGATTATGTGTTTTTTCAATACTTTTCTACTTTTCTCCAAACTTCCCTGCTGTTTTACCTGACCCCAACCATTTCAAACAGCCACACTTATAGTAGAAACCCTACAAAATCATGCAAGCATACAAAAAAGATAGCAGGGCCACAGGCTCTGTCAATTATGTTCTTCCTGTCTCTTAAATAAATCGACCTCACTTTCAGGTGAACTGACTTCTGCGGAAAAAAAAAAAAAATCCCTGAACTCAAGTCTATTCTTGACAACTAGAGCAAATAAAATTTAGAATATTACTAAGATAACAAAAGCTAACACTGCTGTCTTTAATCTCAATTTTCTACTCTTATGTAAATGTGCTTTTCATTTTAATTGTCTTCATTGACACAGCCAAAGACAAAAACCAACCTCCCAGGCCAGGTGCCTATCAGCTTTATTAGGAAATGAACTATATAGCCCATCAAAAAAAAAAAAAAATAGTTCAAAGGACAGTGTGGAACAAAAGTTCCCAACATAGTAAGATAAAGTAACATTCCAAAAAAAAGTTATATGGTCTTATCATAAACAGATTGTGCCACATAAGAAATAGAATTACAGAAACACATTATTTGGAGGAGCTGATCATCAAAGACTAAGCACATGCACTTTTCATGCAGTGCCTCCTCCTGTGTTATACGCTCACTTTAATTTTTAGTCTAGTTATTTTGACAATCTTTACATTTGCTTAAAAAAGATGGTCTGTGTTAAGTTTGAATAACTACCTCTTCAAATAAACTGTAGTCATATAAATTATATAACATGCCTACTTAAGAAAACATTTTCTACTGATAATCTATAAGCCAGTTTGAAACGTATAATAAAATGAGATATTTTTATTTATTTTACATAATCATCCATGTTATTAGAAAGAAAAATAACCCTGAAGTTGTTCTCTTCATATAAATTTTTAACCTTTCAAATATGTATACACGTGTCTTTCAGTTCAAAATTTGAGGGTCTACAATACAAGTTATTAGGCACTTCCATATTTATTATGTTAATGTTTAGCAATAAAATTTTCCTCTTCATCCTTGTCTAAACTTCAACAAATTTCAACCAACCCACATTGTCTCAAGTAAAAAGGCTTAATATTTTTTAATAAATTATAATCTACGGATATACTAGATTTGAGGATTCACCAGATCACCAGGTATCATGGATCTTTTCCCTCCCTTTCTCCTTCTACTTTTATTTCTGCTCTACTTCTGCTTCTATGCTATCTCTTTTTCTCATTCCCCATAGCTGGGTTCTGCTTTTTTCCATGTAGGCTTAACTCTGAGAGAGGCTTATCCATTTCGTGATCCATTGCAGATCTACCAGAAAATAAAGAGCTTCTTTCCTTTTACCTTCAGAAAATACATACTATTAGCTATAATGGGACCATGTGTCCATTCCTGAACCAATCACTCAAGCAAAATAAATACAGTTGATGACTTAGCCATTCCTAAGTTTTGTATCCACTCTTGGAACTAAGCATAGAATCAGCTCCATCCAATTTTCATGGCCAGGAACAGGGGAATGAGAGCTTTCTCCGTGGCACATCTAAGAACTATGATGAAATTAGGATACTGGGTAGGCAGACAAAGAACACAGATCTCCCACAAGAGTTGGGAATGTAGTGAGAAGGCTTTTCACTCACCATAAAAAGCTTCAATAAAGGTATAACAGGAATGCAAAAAAAATTAGGGAAATAAAAACGGGAAAGTAGACCATGCTGGATGAAGAACTGACTATAAATGGGACAACTGGGAAAGTGAGTAACTAATCAAAGAGACTAGTAAATTAGGCAAAGGCACACAGGGTGGTGAATGCCAGGCTGAAGACCTGGGAGAGTGTGAAGCAATTTCAGCTTTGTTCAAAGGGAGAGGCTTGACCTGAACTTCCCCTTGGGGGAATTAATCCTCAGTAATGACCAGGATCGGCTGTAGTGTGGAAATTCTAAAGCAAAAGGTATCAATTAAATGATATTAAGCTACAGTAACTGGAGACTTAGGATTCTGGTTCTAGTAGACTGTGAGTAATCCAGTAAAGGTAAACGTTTCTAGTAACAGAAAAATTATGGAGCTGGGAAAGCAATGGGAATAAGTGGCTCAAACGTGAGCAAATATGTAAAACTTGAGTAACTAGGAAAATAGTGGAAAAAATTTGTCTAAACTCGGAAAAACATGAGGAGAACCTATTTGAGGATATGAAATGATTATATTAAATATATATAACTAAATGGACATTTCCAGTAGATTAAAATTTCGAGGACAAGATTTTGGCATCCTGTTTACAACTGGACTTATATTTCACTGCACCGTAAAATTTCGAGGTGGCAAGATTTATGAAAGCATCTTGTCATTTGATGGAATTACTTACAAAAATACAAGCTGAAACAACGTGAGAGCCCTAATAGGGAGGGAATATTTTCAGAAATAATAATAATAATAATTGCTAATAGTGCCTGACACTGTACCATCAATAAAAGTGAGGTAATATATTTGATAATAGCAACACGCAGTAATTAGTGTGCTTTGTCATTTTAAAGATTAGAAAACTGATGCATGGAGTAGTAAACCTAATAGCTGAAGTTCAAGCATTTGAGAAATATTGGGATTCCGATTGAAATACAGTCTGACTCTAGAGCCCAAACTCTGAAATATTACCAACATAAGTAATTCAGAAATGATTACATTTAAAATCTGGACCAAGAAGGCAGTCACAATAGAAAAGAAATAAAATGTGAGAGACAGCAGTACAGCAGTATCTCTTCATACAAGTTAGCACTTTCAAGGTGGTGGTGACCACATTAAAAAAGAGAAGTGATGGATGATGGGGACCCAGACTGTTCAGACCATCACTGTGGGCCTGCAGACTGAAGCCCTGCGTGGCAGGGGTGTCACCAGCAGCCCCCACAAGTGTCTCACGCCAAAGGCTGGGGGTGGTGCTACACCCATGTCTCTCCTTCCCGAAGACTTAGGAGCTGACAGGGGGCCCCTCCATCAAGAAGGTGCAGGCCAAGTTTGAACGCACATGCTGCTCCCCCAAGTACGTTTCTCCCAAGCTGCAGAGGGAGCCCCTCCCCAAAGCTGACCAGCCAAATAACAGGACGTCACCAGGGACAGCCCAGAAAGGGTACAGTGAGTCAGCCTGGGCCCGCTCCACCACCACCAGGGAGAGCCCCGTGCACACCACTATCAATGACGGCCTCTCCAGCCTCTTCAACATCATGGACCACGGCCCTGTGGTGCAGGACCCCTTCCAGAAGGGGATGCGGGCCGGCAGTCGGTCTTACTCAGCAGAACACCTACCAGAGCTGGGCCCAGGCCAGGAAAAGGCACCAATTCCCGAGAAAGGTCGCCTAGCCCCATTGGCGTGGGCTCAGAGATGTGCAGGGAGGAAGGGGGAGAGGGCACGCCAGCGAGGCAGGACTTACCCGCTCCCCGTGGCTACACACTGACTGAGAACGTGGCCCGGATCCTCAACAGGAAACTGCTGGAGTATGCCGTGAAGGAGGAGAGGAGGCAGGCTGCCCACGGGCCTCCGGGGCCCCACAGCGACAGCCACTCGCTGAGGGACACAGCCGAGCCAGGGGCCATGGAGGAACTACCTTGTTCTGCACTAGTTCGATCCCTAGAGACCTGCTTCTCCAGTTCCGAGAGGCCAGCAAACAGTCGCCCTCCGTCACGTTGGGCCCCATATTCCCCCGCTGCCTCACAACCTCAGTCACCCGGAGACCCGACGCCCTTGGAGCAGCACAGTGGCGAGGAGCCGTCCGAGGAGAAGCCACATCATGATGCAAGCTTGCATGGATTATCACAGTATAATTCACTGTCTTTTGCACAACCACACCATCGCCATGAACGAAACTCTGCCCAAAAGGAGAGATCTAGTTTTCTCAAGGTCAAAGAATGTTTTTTTAAAAAACACACAGCTGCTGAATGTTCAACCTGTGAAACTGAGATGTTTCTAAAATGACACAGTAAATGTGACTCAGAAATAAATAAATAAATAGCTCAGAAAACTATTTTTGTCTCCATCTTTTTTTTTACACACAGTATATTAAACAAAAAGGTAAATAAGGTATAACTAGATTTAAAAAATAAAAGTTTAAAAAATGTACACTTTAAGAGATTCTGGTCACCCTCGCTGTGAATACCTGACTACCTCTCTGTTAAATTTGCACCTTTACATTTTGGTTCGGTTTATTTCTATGTTGAATTAGAGTGGATTAAGTTAATTTTCTTTTGTCAGTGTTACTGTTTTTTAAGAATTTTTAAAGCTTCAAACTATCTGCTTCAGTGAACTTTTTGCAGTGAAAAAGCCATGAAGCCAGTAGACAAGACAGATATTCTGTATACTGAGGGCATACAGGACATCTTTGAAAAGGTACAAAGTCCTCATAGGGCTTAGAAAATTCACTGTATGATCCATATATTATCCTACTTGGCTTGCACATCTTCCAGTGCAGGTATATACTGCTACTGTGTCCTCGCCATCACCTAAATGTGACTCAGTCTGTTCCACTGTAATACGTTATGAATTTCCTTGTACTGTACTTTTATTGTTGGTCTTCTTGCATCGAAGATACAACAGCAACAACATTTTTAAATTATTTGTGAAAAGATTAACTGGCAATGTACAGAGTTTACTCAAAATGTTCTTGTTTAAGGGAAAACACTACGAAAAGTCACGAGGATACCAAATGGAAACACATGATGGTGGCTCTGAGTCTGTATGAGATTGTGATGAATTAGAAATAAAGCCTTTCTGAGATGGTGAAAAAAAAAAAGAGTGGTGAAACAAGCCATTCTCTGAATCAATGATATCAATTAGCATCCTACTAAGTGCATGATAGGATCTAGATTTTTTTTTTCAAAATTACTTCAAACAAACCAAAATGCTGAGTTGACACTGTTATCTAAACCTAAATGGTTAACTGTTAATATTAGCTTAAAATTTAATTTAGGGTACTAAGCCCATGAATATTTATCTATGTTGTTAAGACATATGCATACAAGTTACACTTTTTTTAGTAACCAAAATGTATTAAAATAAGAAAAATATTATACTATGTTCAGGAATCTCTGAGTATATCGTTATTTGCTCATTCAATGGGCCTTCCAATTGTGTTTTACATAATCATCAATAATAATGGATTTAAGCAGCAGGGGAAAATAAAAATCCCAGTCAAGATCAATAGAGTAAGTAATTATGTATGTAAGAGAATATGGAGCACGTTAGCCCTCAAAGCTAAGTTCCATGAAAGGAACTTATTCTTCTTAGTTAACCAAGGAAAATATAATATACAAAATATATAGATACTAGTAGCTCTAATGTTAACGTTTTAAATATATGAACTTAATTCTACCAAGGCAGAATGCTAAAGCCATAAGCTACCTTCAAGGTTGAATTACATACAGCCTCTGCAGCTTATTGAAACAATCTAAATTTTAATTTATTATACATGAGTACATTTACATCAAAAGCATAATGTTACTTTTCAAATTCACATTTAGATGAAAATAAGAGATTCAAAAAGCAGAATAAAGACATTGTGCTTTCTTCTTCTCCCTTGAAATCTACTAAAAACAACAAAAAATTACATAACACAAAAATAGCCAGTTGTACAAATATACTCCATATATGATATCAGCAACATTAATAAAGTACCTAAGAATAAACTAAATATGAAATGTCTAAGCCTTCATTGCAAAAACTATACATCTTTACTGACAAAGAAGACTGAAGTCCTGACTGCACATAAGAATATTAAAAACTTGGAACCAACCCAAATGCTCATTAATGATAGACTGGATAAAGAAAATGTGGCACATGTCATCATGGAATACTATGCAGCCATAAAAAGGATGAGTTTGTGTCCTTTTCAGGGACATGGATGAAGCTGGAAACCCTCACTCTCAGCAAACTAACATAGGAACAGAAAACCAAACATGCCATGTTCTCTCATAAGTGGGAGTTGAACAATGAGAACACATGGACACAGTGGGGGAACATCACACATTGGGACCTGTTGGGGGATGGGGGGCCGGAGGAGGGATAGCATTTGGAAAAACACCTAATGTAGATGACGGGTTGATGGGTGCAGCAAACCACCATGGCACATGTATACCTATGTAACAAACCTGTGCATTCTGCACATGTATCCCAGAACTTAAAGTATAATTTTAAAAAAAGAATATTAAAAAATATAGAAATGAGAATTGACTAATTAATCTATTAAGTCAATGTCTTTCCAAACTAAATCTAGGAATTTTTTATATCAATTGACACTATGAGTCTTAAAATTACATTACTTTAAAATTTTAAAAAAATAAAAATCAAATAAAAACATGTATACTATATTTCAGGCAAATTACAGATATATCATATTAAAAATACAATAATTATGTAAGAATGGGCATCATTATAATAAATAGAGCACAGACATTGATATATGGGTGAACTGGAATTTGGTATGTGATAAAGATATTATTTCAAACCAAATGTGAAAGAATGGACAATGAGTGAGGTTAGATTAGTTGGATATTTATTTAACAAAATAAATACTAATCACAAAACCTGCTTCATATCTCACTCAGTAATGAACTCTAAATGTTTTAAAAATTAAATATATAAAACTATAATTTTTTTTAAAATATAGTAGAATATATGTATAACCACAGGTTGAGGGATGCCTTTTTAAGTCTTCTCAACCCCTTAAAAAAACAAACAAAAAAATTATGAATATGAGGACATCAACACAGAAACAGATAAATGGGCAAATAAGTAGGAAAGAACAAATGAACCAATAGAAGGAAAGAAAAAAAGAACAGTAGGGGCAACACCCTGCTCTTGTTCTTACTGATGTTTCTTCCATTAACCATGCTCTAGCCAGGACATCTGTGCTACTGGACCCCAATTCTAGAATTCTGTTCACTCAGATATTCTCGTGAATATGTTTTATATTTCAATCTTTTTTCTGCTCTAAGCTAATATTCAAAGAGAGATCTTCCCTGATTACCCCATCTAAAATATCATTCTTGTTTTTTTCTTTTTAATCCCCTATCCAATTTTCTTTTATTGTCTGGAACTTTACTTGTGTTGTTATATAATTATTTATTTATAATTGTCTTCCATATTAGAATATGGGACTCACTAAAGCATGGTTCTTATGTTGTTCTCCACCATATCCCAGAATCCTAGATTTCCTGGCATATAGTAGGCCCTTTGCATACTTGTTGAATGAATGAATAAAAGAGAAATGACTAAAACATGACATATAAGAACATTTGACAAAATGGCATGCATAATTGTGTGCGTAATAATATTTCCCTTCTCTTTCACTTCCATTTCTTGCTCTTCAGGAAGTTTTGGTCTAGTAGGTGAATAAGACAAATATACAAATAACCAAAAAATATATCCATCATTATATCACATTATATTTACTTCATCTTTGTAACTTTTAAGATCTGTTAATAATCAATAACATAAAGAAAGTGTGTACCATTGTAAAGAGGGTACAATGTTCCTGCCGTTGTATTCTTTGATCATAAGAAAAAATAAATAAATTCAATTTGAGAACAAAGGCCAGAAAAACAACTTTTTCTAACTTTGCAATTTACACAAGCAGGTTTATTTTTTATTTTGTGCTAACTTCATGACACGTCTCAATGGGGAAATTACAGACACTGCAGGAATGAAAAGTAAACTCCATCCTTAACCTCTTTCCACATCCCATTAGCGGATAGCATACTAACTGTACATGTTCTAGGCAAGAAACTTAACAGAATGAGAATTATTTACAAATAAATCTATATTTCTCTTGCTAATAACAAACACCATGCTATGAATATCTGGTGATAATATACTAATAAGAAAAATCAATAAATTTACACTGACCATCAAAGTAATTGGTGCTGTAGAGTAGAAAATGATGTATCGTGCATTGATCGTTTAGTAATTTTCTAACTAAAAAGAAAAGAGGAAGCTAATTACTTTAGTAGGTGACTGAAAATAATAAGATTAAAACAAGCTAATTATATGTTCTTGAGTAATGACTTTCTTTGATGAAAGTAAATCAAGGAAAGGAATACTGTGATTTAGGCAAAGAAATATTCAATTTTACTAATTACAACATATTCTTGATCCATTTAACCACCCTTAACCCATTTTGAAGAAGCTTTAATGGAAACAGCAGACATTACTAAAGAGAAATACGTGACACATTTTTCCATAGCATGCAAGGAAAGCTGAAATTTCAAGATGTTTGTATTTGTGAAATTGAAATTTAAGAAATTACGGGGTAAAATGGCAAAAATCAGTTTAATTGCCTTTCTTTTACCAGTGTCAATAGTTTAAAAGAAAAGTAGTCAATGAAAGTGGAAGTTATTCATATCTAGAAACTACAAGGAAAGTATTAGATTCTAACAACAGAAAAAAGTGTTTACAAAATGTCATGTAAGAAATATGTAAAAAGTAAGAAATATAATCCAATCAACTTATTAGTTTTGTGAAAGCTCAATTTCAAAAAAAATTGAAAAAAATTGTAACCCAAGTGTTATGAGTTATATATCCAAGTATCTTTGGATATTTCAGGGTTCATAGAATATGCTGACCTGAACTATTCAGCAGGAACTGAAATTACTGCCACGGGAGTAATTTTTTTTTCTGCTCTCTCTTTGCAACCAAGTTTCACTAACTTTAATTTACTCACAAATTTCTTAATTTTAGTAAATTACATAGTATTGTGACTAAGTCTTTAGTACCATTATGAAATTATATAATCTATATTAAAATTATTGGCAAAATACATTACATTTGTAAAATTAATTATATATTAATCTAAGCTATGAAAATAAAGAAAATCCCCTGGAATGGATTAAGGTTGCAACTCAGCAATGGTAAGTTAAGCTTTATTTTCTTCATAGTATAAGTTTTAGAGAATTAAATAATCTAAACTCCCATATATTACATTATGTGAATTTAATAAAGGTCTCTGAAGAAGGTAATATACACACACAAATTGTGAACTCGTACTTATCAGAGAAATTCAGCTTGCATACGGATAAAATGAATCTCAGCAAAAAAAGAGGAGCTTGTGACTGATGCATGGGAACTGGGACACCGAAATTATTTTTTCCAAACAAGACATGAAATGAAGGTAGCCCTCAATTTTCTGTAGAAAAACGCTCTTTTAATCTTAACATTCAACAAACATTCATGCAGTACCCTGATAGAATAGTGCTGGAGATACCAAGAAAAGGAGCAACAATTCTTTATGTCTGGTAGTTTATACTCCAGTGGTGATGACAGAAATTGAGAGAGAATTAAAATGTTGGGTGGAGAATGGGTGTTACAACAGAGTTATTTACAGGTTATTATGGAAGCCAGTTGTCATGTTATCCAATTTACCAGAGAGGGTCCCTGAGGATAATAGAGGTCACAAAGTTTGGCTTAAATATCCTCTACCTGTGAGTTATGTGTTATTAGTATTTGTGTGTTAAGGTGTATAAAGTGGGTCACAAGATCCAACTCTGGAGCAGAGTTTTTAAGTTAAGAAAAAAATAGATACATAGATTGATAGAAGGATAGATAGATAGATAGATAGATAGATAGATAGATTTAATATAGATTTAACATAATATATAATTAAATCAAATTTTTACCTGGCTTGTTATTTATTTGTTATTTGTTCATTCATTATCTTTTTTCTTTCTTTCTTTACTTGACTGGGTCAAGTAAATTTGTAAGTAAGTTAAATTTGGTGCTTATCTGTAATAACTGCACAATAACTTACAAAATGAATTTTTGTGTAATATACTTTATCTTCTTCTCATTTTCCCTGTATACTAACTTTTAAAAATAGATATTCACTAGAAGTCATGTGTAATATTTTAAGTACATTTTGGAATAAGACAGAAAATAATTGGTACATAAAGAGTTATTTTTATTATTAGCGAATCATGTTCTAAACACCCAACCAGATTATTTCACAACAAGTCCTGAAATTTTGCAGATGCAGTAGAACGATGTCTGAAGAGGAACAGTTTGTGATTTTAGAACCAAAGTTTAACAGATTAGTAATCATAGACAGAGATATTTTTTAATGGATAGAGATAAAAATCAATAAGACAATGAACATTCCTTAGAGACAATTTAAAATACTTTGAAATTTCATTCATTCATAATAGGTTTGAAATATTATCTCTCTTATTGCAGTTATGAGGAAAATTTTATTATTAGTTATATTACTTTATAAGGCCTTTGGTTTGGGAAAAGATATTTTAATGTGTTTTGTAATTTCAACGTCCAAATACTTGAAAAAACATTAGGATATAAAAAATTAAAGTAATTCAACTCACATCTAATCACTCCATATTATAGTCATGGGGGCTCCAGAATCAGCAGCAGAGCTTGTTAAAAAGGTGGATTTCTGCCTCTTCCACTGCCCTCTTGTGATTTCTATTCAGTAGGTCTGAGACGGGAACTGCCATCATTTGTTGGATAACTCCTGAGTGATATGAGGCAGGTGGCCCACATTGCTTACCTTGAGAAATCATGCTATGAAGAGAGCCTCAACAGTTCTGGGGGAAGGCTTTCATTTTTCACATTTTACAGATTGGGCAGTGGGTTCATAGTGGTAAGTTCCGCTATGGTATAAGTTCCAACACTTAATACCAACTAAGTGTTGGAACTCTAGAGTTCTAAATGCGATAATCACAGTCCACATGAACAAAATGTTTTACAGCATGGCTTGAATTTGATATCTGGATCTTATATTTTTATATAGTCCCTTCTGAAGACATCTAACACTTGCTCACATCTTTCAAAATGATTTACAAGCTTTTCTGGTACACAATAACAGCCTGTTTTTGTGTGTCACTTGCTTTTAGATTGCAAGTTTTTTGTGTCACTTGCTTTCAGATTTGTTTTTCTCCCTTTATGCTGAGTGGTATCTTACTTGTTTTCAGCACTGGCCAGAAAATCTGCACATAATGAAAATATATATTTGATCATCACTGAGCTATTGACAACACTAGATTGTGAGTGTTTTAAAAACTTATTGCTGCAATACAACACAGGTAACTTTCTTCATCTGCTTTCATTCCTCAGCTTCTGTAATAACAATCAGTTTTTCTGCAGGTGGAAATGCCTTTTAGTTTGCATAATTCTGTACTGCAATATTGTACCATATTGAAATATGATGAAACTTTTGTTTAAGATGAATAAGTGATAAAATGTTTTACAGAATTTATTTTTTCCAATGTTGCCGTAATGCTCTGTTACAAAAACAAATAATGAAAAACATCATCATTAACACTCAAAAAAGAACCATAAGGTTAACATGTTTGCTTTTACTGTAATATACTGTATATGATTTGACATTATAACAGTAAAAAGCAAATGAAAACTAAAATAATGAAGAGCTTTTCTCAACTCTCATTGAGAACACAAAACAAAACAAAACAGAAACTTGAATAGCACCTTGACTAAAATTGCTTACTTTGTTCTCAAATTAATTTTCTAAAGTAGGCTTATAAACAACCGAAAAGATATGGTCAGTACATAGACTTCCATAATGTTTCTTATGGATATCTCTCTAATACATTTTATGGTAAAAACAAATATTTGAAGGTATATATTCCCATTTTCAGACACAGTGTAGAGTTACATTTTGTCATAGTGTAGTTACTAAATTTCAGAAACCCTTTCTCCACAAGCGGAAATGGGAGAAAAAAGTCAAATAAGGATCCAGCAATAAATATTGCTGGTACAATAGAGAAAATTAAGGTAAACAAACTTTTAAAACTAAATGACCGAATGACTAAACAGTGACTAGGGAGTTAGTGACTACCTTAGCACCACAGTTGCATGTGGCCTGTGGGATAGCTCTCAGGCTTGTTTTACATATTTCCAAAGATCCCACAGGATTAAACTCCATTTGCCTTCAGTATTAACTTGCTTAACAGCACACAGTTTATTTCCTCGCATAACTTCCCTCTCCCACTTTTCCTCTCTACTACTAGTTTTATCTAAATCTCATCTCAAGATCTGCTTCTAGAAAACCCTACATAAGACAAAGGATGAGAGGAACAGAAGTTGAAAAAATGAAGAAGGTATGAAAGATATATGCCTCTGCAAAAGATATAGAGATGTCAAAGGAGCATGATTCAAGCAAATGCAAGTAATCGTCATAGCTGGGGATGAAGAGGTGTCTTGTGGTGCGATATGAAGCCAGAGAATTTTGGTAAAGACTGAATCGTGACATGCTTCATATTTGATACTAACGAATAGAGATTTTGTCAGACAATGAATAATTTTAATAATGAAAGATAAATATTTGATTTGTATTTTACAAATTATGAAAAAAAGTATACCTATGATTGTGTCATACCTATGATTCATAGAATGGTGTAAGTGTAGCATAACAAGAGAACAGAATTTGTTTCTTTTTCCTTTTCTGTTTGCTCTCCCTGCTACCACTGTGATACAGTTTGTCTCTATGAATAATTGACCAATATACCTCTCTATGGTCCAACAGTGTCAATAGAGAAAAATATATATGGAACATTTATATATATTTTTATAAAGTATTTGTTTTCATTTAAAATAATAAACCTTTTTCACCATATCCAAAGATTTGGGAATGTCTCACATATTCTTCTTCAATTTTGTCATTATTTATGAACTTGCTAAGCCTAAAAACATAAAGGAATTGAGAGAAAACATATTTCTAAAATACATTTCATTATAATTAATTGGTTTTAGTAGGAAAAATGCTTTGAAATAACATGTTTTCAGTTCAGTGCAATACAGCAAACATATGGAAAGATGCTGACGTTGGAATATTGAATTTAAAAAGTTTATCACAGATTTCTAAGATATCACAACTGTGTGGGGGGATAATATAAATCTAATAAGGATGAAGAAAATTTCAATATGACAAAAGTGAAATAAAATTTTAGTTATTATACAGAAAGGATGGGCTGAAATTTCCCTTAAACTACCAGAGAGAGTATATATTAGGCAAAAGGCATAAAGTAAGAGGGCACCTGTTCTAATACGTCTAAAAGATAAATACAGAGTCCTTCCTCAGGGGCACCTTCCTAACCTTCAAGAGTTCAGGGTGGTGCCTGACTCATGTCTAAAATTGGGGAAAAGTCCATGAACGTCTAATATAGTGTCTGAAGTCTTCTGTTTGCCAAAACCAGAAGTTTGTTTCTTTCCTTTTCTGTGGCCAATATATAAAGTGCTAGTACTTTGTCAAGTTTATTTGTGGTAATCCCATAATTCATGGGATATAACCAGGGATGTCAGTGTCAGTTGGTCCCCAGGGATGTGATTTTGTTGTTGTTGTTGTTTTGAGACAGGGTCTGGCTCTATTGCTTAGGCTGGAATGCAGTGGTGCCATCATGGTTTACTGTTGCCTCAAACTGCTAGGCTCAAGCAATCCTCCTGCCTCAGCCTCCAAAGTAGCTGGGACTATAGGTGCATACTTAGATAATTTTTTAATTTTTATTTTTTTTGTAGAGACAGGGTCTAGCTGTGTTGTCCAGGCTGGTCTTTAACTCCTGGCCTCAAGCAATCCTCCCTCCTTGGCCCTCCAAAGCACCAAGATTACAGGCACAAGCCACCTTGCCCAATCCCAGAGATGTGATTTTTAAATTTACCCTGCTGCCACCATACCAGGTAGTCTGTGACAAGTCTGTTCTTCCATTAACATTGGGGAAGCCATTTCAGTTCCATTTTATCAGTTGACATTCCTCTGGCATGTGAAAACAGAGAGAAACTGTTCTAGAGGTTATCCCTTCAATCTATTTCTCATACGGAATTTAGCTCTTTTCTCTAGACTAATAATGAAATAAAAAGTCAAGTTTGGTTTAGAAATGTCTTTGGACAATAACGCAGCATTAGCTGAAAGCTAATAATATACCACTAGGCTTAAGAGTCTAGGTTCTGGAGCCTGTACTGACTAGTGGAGAGGGAAATTTTTAGATAACCATAACTTCCAATAGTGTATGTTGCTCTTAAATGATTTAAAAAGACAGGATTGGATAGAGCTATATACAGATTATTGAGTAGTGGCAAATATTTTACAATGATTGGTGAAAAGGAGGGTGGAGAAGTAATCTAAAGATAGATACTTTGGAATGGCTATCACATCTGAGATTATAGATCTCTACTGTAGATTCTCACACAAAGAAATGTACCAGAGACATCATACGTTTTTAAATAACCCAATGGTCAGGAAAAACAAATTTTTAAATAACTTCAACTTTTATTTTAGATTCAGGGAGTACGTGTGCAGGTTTGTTACATGAGTATATTGCATAACACTGAGATTGGGGTACAAATGGTCACCACCCAGGTAGTGAGCATAGCACCCACTAGGTAGTTTTTCAGCACTTACCCTTCTCCATCACTTCTCCTTTTGGTAGTCCCAGTGTCTAATTTTTCTCATCTTTATATCCACATGTACCCAATGCTTAGCTCCCACTTACAAGTCAGAACATGTGGTATTGGTTTTCTGTTTCTACATTAATTTGCTTAGGATGAATGGCATCCAGCTGCATCCATGTTGCTGCAAAGGACATGGTTTTATTCTTTTTTATGGATGCATAGTATTCCATGGTGTATATGTACCACATTTTCTTTATACAGTCTACCATTGATGGGCATTTAGGTTGATTCCATGTCTTCACTATTGTGAATGGTGCTGCAATGAACATATGTGTGCATGTGTCTTTATAGTAGAATGATTTATGGCTGCATACTATCCCATGGTGTATATGTACCACACGTTCTTTATGCAGTCCACCATTGATGGGCACCTAGGTTGATTCCATGTCTTCGTTATTGTGAATGGTGCTGTGATGAACATACAAGTCCATGTCTTTGTTATTGTGAATGGTACTGTGATGAATATACAAGCGCATGGTAAAACTACTTATTTTCCTATGGGTACATACCCAGTAATGAGATTGCTGAGTTCAGTGGTAGTTCTGTTTTAATTTATTTGAGAAATCTCCAAACTGTTTTCCACAGTGGCTGAAAACATTCCCACCATCAGTATACATTTGTTCCCATTTCTTCACAGTCTACAATCTTGCCAAGTCTTGCCAGCATCTGTTGTTGTTTTTTTTTTTTTATTTTTAGTAATAGCCATTCTGCCTGGTATAAGATGGTTTCATTATGGCTTTGATTGCAGAGTTGGGCTTGGTTAGTGCTTGGAGGGGAAGATAAACTATTTTAAGGGTGTTTGTAATTTGCCTTTTCTGCCAGCCTAGTGGTACCAAAAAATGACTTCATAAACAAAGCATCCATGGGTACAGGGATGAATATCATTAGTCAACAAATATTTGTTAAATTCCTGTCCTGTGCCAGACCTAGCTCTTGATTTTTATAACACAGTAATGAAACTACTAAAAAAGACAAAACAGCAAAGAATCTTATTCTTTTGAAAATTCTGTTACAGTGGATTATGGACATTTATGGTTTAAAAAAACAGACTCTACGACATTTCCTTACCAAAGGTGAGCTGACTAGAGTCACTGCTGAGTTCCCAAACATGGAGCAGCCCACAGCTTGTGGTAAGTTTCCATATATCTGGGCCTTAGGAGACAATATTATAGCCCCCTTCACCAAGGGGGAAAGACCTAGTTAGCAATTCTTCTCATAGTAACACACATTCATTCTTAATTTGGACTTTTTTTCCTGCCTTATCCTTCCTAGAAATACTCATTGAATGACATCCTGCCAAACATAGTATCCAAGTTTACTTCACGGTGTGAAGTAATAGGAACCACCTTGGTATTCACTTGTCTTAGCTTGCACTTGGTTATCTAATACAGAACCAAATGGCCTTGTAAAACAGTAGAAAGGACAATTAAAAATTGGCTATTGTTAACAGCAGGCAGACAATTATCTCGTGAGGCTAAAGTACTTTCTTGTGACATATAGTATATGCTTTGAGGCAGAGAATATGATTTGCTTTTGTCCCAAATCCAGATAACAGGGATGGAAGTAGAGGTGACACTTTTATTATAATATCTATGACAAGCTTTGAGTCTCATTTTAGTGCTCAAGGGAGGAAAAAATTGGTGAATCTAATAGGGGTTCCACTGAACTGGGGATTTCTGGAAATGAGCCTGAGGTCAATTTGCACTTACTGTGTCACTAACAAAACAAGCAAATAAAAAGAATGAAGTTATTTTGATGCTGGGAAAGAGTCTATCAAAAAGGAATAGTAATAATACTGCATTGTGAATTTCAGAAGGATTATAAATATCAACTAAGGTACACTTTGAAATATTTTACATCATAATCATGAAAAAAGTGATCAACCACAATTCAGTTACTTTCAATTGATCAAACATTATAATTTGCGTGTGTCACTTCTCATTAATTCTTATGTTGGCTCTGACATTATTATTACAATAACTTATCCACCATCATATTTCCACTTCAAATTTACTGTTGCATTTATTCCCGCATTTACTCATTCACTCCACACACATTTCTTTGTACCTAGCTAAGGGAATTATTGGTTTCTACAAAGATACAATGGTAAATTTCTGCCCTCAATAAGTTTGCAAAGTTTAGTTGTGAGATAAATGAATTAGAAAAGTTATTATAAAATTTGGTAAGCAATGAATTAGAGGATAGGGCTTGCGGATGTTGACAGGCAGGCAAGAATGAAAGATGCTGTCATAAAGAAGTGACCTTGAGTTGTGTTGAAAAATTTGTTGAATATCAAGCATAAGAATCATTGCAGAGGACTTTGGGGAAAAGATGTGGACAAGGCATGTAGGAAAGATAGTATGGCATGCACAGGAAATTATAAAAGCATATGTTGGCTAGCGGGTGTAGAAAGATAATATTAAACTCATTAATACACACTCCTGTACGTGTGATACAATGCTCAAAACGAATTAGTAGACTAGAAAAGAAGACATATGAAGATATGAAGTCCTTTTTCTTTTCTTTTCTTTCTTTTTTTTTTTTTTAAACGGAGTCTCATTCTGTCACTCGGGCTGGAGTGCAATGGCGCAATCTTGGCTCACTGCAAGCTCTGCCTCCCGGGTTCAAGTGATTCTCCTGCCTCAGCCTCCTGAGTAGCTGGGATTGCAGGCGCCCGCCACCACGCCAGGCTAATTTTTGTATTTTTAGTAGAGACGAGGTTTCACCATATTGGTCTTGAACTCCTGACCTCAGGTGATCTGCCTGCCTTGGCCTCCCAAGTGCTGGGATTACAGGCGTGAGCCACCGCGCCCGGCATCTTTAGTGTTATTTTTATGAATTAATGTTGTGTCTTCAGAGGAACGCTGTATGATACACAAATATTACATATAAAAACAAAGAAGATACTTTAATATATGAAGTCACTCAAACGCTGCACATTTATCCAATTAACTGTTATTCAAGAAATGCAGAGTTTTGAATGAAAGAGACAGCAGGTAGTTAAAGTTGAAGGAGAGAAACGAACACATTTGGGATCTTCTACTGCGTAAATTGTTTCCCAAAAAGGTTAATGTGAAAGAGATGTTGCATAAATAGGTAGTAGTGGGCTCTGAACGTTTAGAATTGAGGATAAATTGGGGATAATACAAAAATAAATTGTCTTCTTTATTGTTGAGTTTAAACCTGATTGTAACTAGTCCCCAAAATATGTCTTCGCTTTGCTTTGGTAGTTTATATTCCCAGAGCAACTGTGATAAAAACCTTCCAGACTTCTACCTACAAGCAAAGAGAGTATTTATACTAATCCAGGCAAAATTAAAAAAAAAAAAGTTCTAATACATGACATTCTAATAATCTGCAATCTTGCAATTTTATGAAAACATTTTATTTTTCTTCAAATGCTTGCAAACATTTTTAATATCCTATTTTTCAATTCAGAAAATTACTGAATTTGAGTTTCAACTTGAAAATATTATGAGTTTCAGGGCCTACATTTATCATTTTCCCCCAATAGACCAGTGATTAATCAACTCATGCTTATCACTTTTATTAACTGACTTCAGCTTCTCTTTAAGAGAGGGAAGCTTTTAGTTGTAAGAAGTAATTATTTTTCTTTTTAAAAACCACACAGCAATCCTTAAATAAATTAAGTTATCATCTTTATCAATTACCACATTATCTGTTGTAAACTGGTCAGCAGAATTAGTCACACAATTAATGTTCCTATTTCTTCCTGAATATACTTCTAAACCCTCCATAGGAAATGCTTTTTTCTTCTTTTAATGTGGCCTCAGTCACAAACTGACATTGCTTTTGAATGCGTGTGATTAGCTTGAGAGACGCTAGCTTTTGTAACAAATAGACCCCAAAATATATGTCGCAAATACATTTGAAGTTTGTTTTTTTTCCTCTTATAACCATTCAATGGGAGTATTTAGAACAAGCAAACAGCTTTTCCATATGCATGATTCATGGGCCTGTGATACTCAGGAAATTATTAGAGCCTTAGGGAGTTAATCAAGGAAATTGCCCCTGGTGGAGAAGGTGTCTTACAAGGCTTGCCATCAGCATTTTGTTATTGCTAACAGTGACTTCTTCGGGTCTCACAAAATTTTCCTTTTTCTGAAAAAGTGTTTTTATTGTATTTTCTTGTTTCTGCTTCAAAACAGTATATTAAGTATTTGAGGGGAGCACAATGAGGGGACAGGTATAAGGATGGGAGTAGGTAACAAGTGTTTTAGCCCAGGTCAAGAGGACCCGTATTCAGACGTGATGAAGAAAACCGGGATGCATGACCCTGAACTATAGTCATGAACTCAATGGGATTTTAGATTGAGTCTTTTGGGGAAAGAATGATTGTTTTCTGTCTCTGGAAAGTAAAATTTGCGCAGATATTTGTGGTGAACCGTGGCAGAGACTTAAATCTCCTCCAAGATCAGAGTTTCTCTCTTCTTCCTGGGCACAGAGCTAGACATTTCCAAGTCCACTTGTATTTATTGTGTTACCATGACGTAGCCAGTGACATACGATTGGGAAAAAATGTGTCCTGTTCTGGCCAAAGCTTTGGCTAGTAGAAGACTCAAAAGGAGACAGGATTGTAGTCTCCTGAAAAACTAAGTGGAAGAAAGTCTCCTACGTATGAGCTGTATTTCAACAATTAAGCAAGAAAAAAACAAACTCCCATTGTACTCAGTCATTCAAATTTTGTGGTTTATTAATGCTAGATTACCTAAAGTAGCAAATACCGATCATAGACATGGAAATGGGATGCTAAGAATTTGCAGAGGCTGTTGCAAGCGGAATGGGTTAGGAATTAGGTTAAGAATTAGAACCAAAGTTGGGTACAAGGAAAAAGTATCTTTTTTATTTTTCTCCAGTGAGTCCCATTAACTAAGTTATAAATGACATCTTTAACAGGGCCATTAAGCTTTCCTGATCTGGCCACTGTGAACTCTGCTGCCCCTTCTACCTCACGCTTATATTAGCTATAATCCAACCATACTGTTTTTTTGTTTCAATTTCTTTAATGTTACATGTTTACCTCCACCCTCTGCCACCATATCACAGATTTATTGGACATTATTGTTGCCTCAAATACAATATTTTTAATTTGTCCAGTCACTTATGCAAACTTTACATCCTGGGATGTAGAACTAAGCCTCATGCTATTAGACTAGAGCATATGCCTCTGATACTTGTTTCACAACACCTGCTCTGCATACTTACATTTAACAGATAATCACTTACTCTCTGCATACTAGGCATGATATTAGGGTTTGAGGATACTTGAGGATATAATGGTGAGCTGGAACAGATATGGTGAACAATCTCCTGGAGCTTAAATCAATGACTATGATATGTTAGAAGAATCATTTTATAAGATTTTAATTAGATGTATTGGATCTGAAAGAAAGTTGTACAACTTGTGTTTAAGTGCAGTTTTTGCAGAGGAAATATTCATGGAGATGAGATCAGGAGGAGAAGGAATATTTAAATAAATGGGGTCAGGTGTAGTGGCTTACGCCTGTGGTTCCAGCTACTTTGAAGGCTGAGGGTGGGAGGATCGCTTGAACCTGGAAGGTTGAGGCTGTAGTGAGCCGTCATCATGCCATTGCACTGCAGTGGGTGACAGAGTAAGACCCTGTCCCCCCAAAATTTTGAAAAGTGGCACAGTAGACATACAAGTACTCTTCTTGTGGCACATCTAATTTGCGTGTCTAGCCGTGGCTTTCTTGAATTTCAATCAATAATAAATACATTAGTGGGACACAATAGGTTACACCCAATACCAGTTTGTTTTGCTTTAAGAGAGGTAACAGGATAAACAGGATCACAAAGTTCATGACAAAAGCATAATAGAAGTCTCATAACCCTCTGGAACTCCACACTTGGGATGCTTACAGTGCCAAAGAATTGGTGGATACAAAATAGCAGGTCAGGGATTCAGTCAGTTGCAGGATTCTTTGGAATTTATATTTTACTGGTTCTCTACCCCTCAGGGATATGTGAATGGAATCCATTCTCCAATGCAGCTGTACTTCATTATTACCAGTTACTCTTTACTCCTTTATTCAATAAATTACTTCAACAATGAGGTACAGGTGCTTGCTTCTGGATGTAGTATTCTCAGTCAGCTTCTCGTTTATCTAAGATTCCATATCTGTCTATAGATGCCTTGATTTTACATTGTGATGAGGATTAGCTCAAGGGTCAAATCTTCAGGCTTCCATCAAGTTAAAAGAATGGCTGTAAAACTAGTGGTTAGCTCTTGACTTTCACCCTGACAAAGTGAATATACAACACTGAAAGACCTTGGTGTTGATTCGAAGGTAGGGAGTAGACATGTTATGTAACCTAGAGAACAGGAAGAATTCCAAAGAGCCCAGAGGGCAAAGGGCAATGGGTAAAGTGGTACAAGAGGAGACTGAAGAGATAAACATAGTTAAAATAAAAAACAACTTCACCTGTGTTAGGAAAATTATTTTTTATGAAAACTGGGAAATTATTGAAGGGCTTTAATATGTGTGGGGTTTAATGGTGTGATTTTATTTTGAAAAAGTAAGTCCAGTTGCAACATAGGTACTTATATTAAAAGAGAAAACGCCAGGCTATGGGAAGTATCTAAGCAAATGTTATTGTTAAGACAAATGCAAAAGATGAGATAATGTATGTAGGGATGTTGTGTATAAGTTTACGAATTATTTAAAATGGCAGAATTGACAGAATTTGCTGAGTTTTGGTGTCACAATGGGAGAGCACATGGTAGGAGAGAGTTCCAACTGAAGGTTTTATAATATCACTCACTGTTGCAGAGAACATAAGAAAACCAGTGTTGAGAGGAATATTATGAATTTTACCTTGGACTTATTAATTTTGAGGTATACTTTAAAAATCTAAATAGAAGTATCCATTTGCAGAAGGATATGCATTTCTAAAACTCAGGGAAGATCTGTGGGATGAGGCTATGGCTTTGGAAGCCACAACTGGAAGCCATAGACCTGTAAGCAGTCATAGAAGCCATTGGCATGAATGAAATTAGTTGGAGTATAAAAGTGAAAAAAAAAATGAAACAGAATCAATCAATACAATGGATCTTATAGATGTCCAATATACACTGGTCGGTTAATAGAGAATAAATTTGCCAAGTAATCTATAGGGTAGTGGCCAATGAAGAATTGGGAAAACCTGGAGTGTGGCATTTAGGCAACCAAGAGAAGTGTATGTTTTACAAAAGCTACAGAAGCCAGATTTGATTTAGAGACCATGTAAGGGATAGTAATGTGACAGGAACAGTGAGGACAGCCAACCCTTCAGAGTAGTTTGACTGTGAGGGAAGTAAACTAGGGCATTTGCTGGTAGAATATAAGAAGAAAGTAAATAATTTTATAACAAGAAAAATAATGGATCATGTACAGTTCTTCAACAACCAAAGGAGCTAAAAATGGTTAAAGGAAATTAAAAGGCCAAGACTAAGTTTCTATTTGACTGGAGACAAGTCTGGATGTCCCTGGTGGTTTATTTCCTTTCCCTTTGGGGTTTCTTAGCAGAAAGCTGGCTCAGCTCGCTCGCTACGGCAGTCTGCAGAGAGAAGGCCTTGGGCTGATAACAGCTTCCTAGCAGGCAAGTTAAGGGCCCTGAGTCTTCATACTCTAGTATTTTTTTTCTGAGTGTGGAGATCTTTTAATGATACATTTCTTTTACTTCAGCATTTCCTTACCCCTTAGGCTAACCTGTAAATATGTAAGACAGTGGGGCACAAGCATGGGAGAAGCTGGTTACCTCTTGAAGAACCCCTTTCTTCATAACATATCCCATGTCCAGCCTGTGACTGAGGCAGGCTTCCTCTGCTAGAATCTTGGCCATGGCACATGTAGAACCACTATGCCTAGTCTACACTATGGACAAATGAGAATTCATGGGACTGAATCATATCCGCTTTTCTACTTCTCTGCTAATAAGCTATTTCTTTTCCTAATAAATCATTTTGTTTGTGACACTAGAGTTGTGTATTTGTTACACTCTTGTCAGACACTAGTTCAAATTTTAATCGTGGTAGATAAAATGGTCATCAGCTGTACATATCAGTTGTAGTTGCACTACACTCTATTATATTCCAATACACAGGCCCCCACAAAATATCTTCAGAACATGTCTAACATGTCTCCATATTATTACAACCACACTCACACAACTGAATTTTATAGATTCTTTGTCCTTCTAAGAAATAAGAAAATTTAAAAATTTTACATTTTTTAACCAAGAGACATCAACAAAAAAAGTCAATCAAACAAAGCCTTTTCCATCTCTCACTTGCCACATATTAATTATCCATAGAAAAACAAATCCCAAATTAACCTAGAGTGGCTTAACCATGTCCAAAAAACAATTTATATATCGTCACAAAGTTTGAATGTTACTTAAAGCTTCATCTACTTTAAATATTCCTTTGTTCCAAGTTAGCAAAATCATCTGTCTCAGTCCATTTGGGCTCTTATAACAAAATGTCTTAGATGGGGTAATAATTTGTAAAAACAGCAGAAATTTATTGCTCACAGTTCTGGAGGCTGGGAATCCAAGATTAAGGAGCCACAGATTCAGTGTCTGATGAAGGCCCTCATATGTGATGCCTTCTTGCTGTGTTCTCCTACGGTGGAAGCACGGAAACAGACTCCCTCAAGTCTCTTTTGTAAGGTCATTAATCTCATTCATAAGGATCTCCTAAAGGCCACATCTCTTACTACTATCACGTTGGGGAATAGGTTTCAACATATGAATTTTGGAGGACACATTCAGACTATAATATCATCTCATTTTCATCTGGTTCCAGTAGTCTACACTTTTATGTGCTATTAACAAATATATTTAAGAAATCACGCAGCATTCATTAAAACTTAAAGAAAATACTGACGTAATTTTTTGGTACTTTTTCTCCCTCTCATCAGAAGCTCTAGAAAGGGGGGCTATATCATGTGTTTGGTGTAATGCATAATATTTTGTGCCAGAGCAATCTTTAAAGTTGTTGTACGTATTTCCACAATAGTAGCCCTTAAGAGTGAATAACAAATTTCTTTCATATATCCCAAATATTCAAATATCAGCAATGAAATATCTTCCTTTTGATCAAATGTCAACTACGAATTTGGGGATTTGTTATGAAAGCTGTTAATTGGTATATGATCAGAAAGAAATTATTTTAAAATAATCTCTGACATTTCTGTCATAAATCATCATGTCACATTCAGCTCTATCATGGTGGTTTATAAGAGGAGAATATAAACATGACACAATTTGTCAATAAAATCTAATGCAATAGAGTCCCATATAATATGAAATAAGATTGAAGAAAAAAATCAACCACTTCAGATTTGAAACTGATTGTCAATTGCCATAAACACCTACCCTGCCTTTTCTGTGACTATAACTAAAATATTCTTAAGGCTGAATTAAATGAAAATATTCTTTACTATAATAAAGATTTTAATTCTTTTAGTGGAATAAATAGAATTTTCCCCCTCTCCATAAACTGAGGAAATGTAAGCACATATTTTATCAATAAAAGCATCATTAAAAAGCAGACATAGAAAATAAAGTATCTACAGAACACTTAAACTGTATTCCAGATACTCGATTACACACACACACACACACACACACACACACATTTCTCAAGGAAGTTTTTATTTAATCTGATTTTATAGGACTACTCATGGAGACATTTGGAGGTCAAATATATCACATAGAATTATGGAATTATTTCAATCCTTTCATAACAATGCAAAAAGATATAGGAAGTTTTATCTATTCATTCTGTTTTAACAGACATATTCTTTCTTTCTTTTTCTGACTTAAATAAGGAGCTAACCCCAAAAGGTATAAAGACTACTAGATTGTGAATGCACCAGATATTTGACGCAATATGTAAAGCCTGTCACATTAAGTAAGAAAGGTTATTTTTAAAAGAATATTTGAGTATATAATTCCTATTCATCTGCCTTTCTTTCAGACTATACACAGATTTTTATATAAATTATAAAAGGTGGTTCTATAGATGAAAGCAGTTTGTAATTTATAGAGACCATTTTCTTCTCAACTTGGTAGTCTTTCTCATAGCTGTTTCATTATTAGGCAAACCAATTAAGTGTGCTCAAAGTAAGCCACATATGCTAAGTACACAATTTGTATAAAATTCTAATCTGTTCATTACCTTTATACCAGTGATTTTTTTTCTTGACTTGGAGTAGTGGGTTCACTTTTTTAATAAGAATTTTGTGTTAAAAATGGCATGTTGAAATGCCTGACATGAGAATTCTCAAACTGTCTTAACTAGATTTTGGCATTTAATAAGCTGTAAACTGCTGAAGCTATTTGCAGATGAAGTCTCATTTTTGTCCATCAGCAGGGGGCTGGAAGCATAATTAATTGAGTGAAAGTTAAAAGACGGACAGCACGGTTACATTTATGCAAATATTGCAGCAGAACATCTAAAGGAAGAGAAAAATAGCTTGCAACCAATTGGTTTGGTTTTGGACCAAAATCCACAGGGTCCATTTAAACATTGCAGATTGTGCAACTGACAATTAAGACTTATAGTGTTTTTTAATACTAGCTGTGATGGTAGAAATAGCAGGCAAAAAGTTGAAGTCCAGAGAGACAATTCTATTTCTGCTCTCATCTTTTTAACCTCTCATGAATGTTAAAATATAGTTGCAAAAAATCAAAAATCAAATGATGCATGTGTGTTCAACCATATGCCAGGCTCTGCTGTTTGTTTCTTTTATTCATATCCCAGGCATATGTACCCTTGCACACTAAAGGTTCCATTTAATTAAAGTTAGTTAAAAGCTTAGACCACAGAGATCAGGACAGCTGCTTGAGATATTAACCTAGGTGCTGTCTGGGGACAGCATGAAGCCTTTGCTGTTATTCTGTCTCCTATTACATATTTTGGTGGGGTTTTTCCTAATAGTTGTTTTCTCACAAGGCTGCTGACTTTTTCTTAAACGGCTGGGAAACATTAGATTCCCCAATGATCACAGGAAATTTCAAATTGAAATTTTGCATATCCCTCATTTGTATGTTTTTTTTTTTCCTCATGACTGTAAGTATCTGCATGACTACCTTAGTGATTGATTTTTGACTAGTCTCTGTGTTTGTCTTTGATTTGTTGGCTATTCAAAGACACTGCTTCCCATAGAGAAATTTCAGTATGCTTTTTGTTTTTACCTCTCACATGTCTGTTCTGATAGCAGGTCTAGCTGAGGTTTTAATTCTAACTTACCAGCATGGCACATGTATACATATGTAACTAACCTGCACAATGTGCACATGTACCCTAAAACTTAAAGTATAATAATAAAAAAAAATGCAACCTAAGTTAGATCAATTAGCAAAACTAGAATTGGTTTTGTGTGTGTGATGTAGAATTCTGTGTGTACCTACTTTGGACTAATGGAAAAGCTTAATTTTTAGAACTTCTAAAAATATTCCTAACTTCAATTACAAATATTGTCAGTCCTATTCAACATTTTACTAAAAAAGTTTAATTCTAAAAATAAATGGAATACAACATATTTGGTGGTTTCAAGGATATGGTACAGATTTTAAATACAAATCAAACCCCACCCCCAAAAAAATCATGGGATATTCTCAGTGAAGGACTGTAAAATCTTTGTAAAAGAATCTAAGCTAAAAAGTTTGTAAACATTAAAAAGCCAGGAGCAGTGCATGTGTTTATAGCCCCAGCTGTTCCGAAGGCTTAAGAGGAAGTATCGCTTGAGTCAGAGTTCGACACTACCTGGCTAACAAAGCACATTCAGTTTCAATTAAAACAAAAAATGAAGGAGTAGTGAACTAACTTAAAGTAAATACATTCTCATACAGGTCTTCAAGATTTGACTGAACTTCTAGGCCGATTGTGGTGGCTCATGCCTATAATGTCAGCACTGTGGAAGGCTGAGGCAGGTGCATCACTTGAGGTCAGGAGTTTGAGACCAGCCTGGACAACATGGTGAAACCCGTCTCACAAAATTACAAAAATTAGCCACGCGTGGTGGCAGTGCCTGTTGTCCCAGCTACTCGGGACGCTGAGGAGGAGAATCACTTGAGCCCGGGAGGCGGAGGTTGCAGTGAGCCGAGATCACACCACTGCACTCTAGCCTGGGCAACAGATCGAGACTCTGTCTTAAAAAAATAAATGAATAACTGAACTACCCATACTATTTATATTTTATGAAATTCTACTCCTTAGTATAAAATGTTTTGCTGTATAATTCAATGCTTTCTTCATCCAAGTCAAGACATTAAATCCATAGTGAAAATATTTTATATATACTGTCACACTTTATTTCATAAATGTTTAATGTTTAATTACCTCTCAGAAGTTTATTTTAAATATGGAATATGATTACATAATTTTCAGTATTATCAACCGCTTTATATCTCATAAAATATGTTTTCTCTCATAAGTATATAGCTATTGTATAATGTTTACAGCACAAACAGTAAAAATATTTTAGGATTTATACTATAAAGAAAAATATTGAACCATTTTTTATCAATAATTCCTTTTAAAAATTCATATAACCTGCCATAAATTTTAATATAATATAATGTAATATAATACATATATATACACATGATGTATGTGTGTATATATATACACATATATAAGATCTAATTCTGAAAATGTTCTGTGTTCTATATTTCATTAAGCATAGAATCAAAGAAATATTTCTGATGTAAATTCATTTTAAGGCAAATACTTGTGCAATTAAAAAGACTTTCACTTTCTAGTTATTAGCGTTATCTTACATACCTTTTGCAAGTGAGATTCTCCTAGGTAAAGCACAAGAGTTTTGGTTTGTGTGTGTTGTTTGAGCTTTCATGTCAAAAATAATGTTATTTTTATTATGGAAGAGTAGAGCAGTGTTAGATATTTTGAGACACTCCTGACTTTACAATCATATCCAAAATGTTTAAATTTTCTAATCATTTAGAATATCCTCTTTCTTATTGTTCAGTGTTTCATGTGAATGTTTCATCTTAGGAAGGAAAAGTACAGGTTTCCTATGTTGATGGAGAAATGTTCTTTGGTTGAGAAATGAGAAACATTGTGTTTGCTGCCGAGGAATAAATACTCTGTCTCACCTAAAAATAATAAAATTTCTAACATTTTATGACATTACCATTTTTATTTCCATATTTTGAATCAAATTTCTTAAGAATTCTTCCTCTTGGATATGAAGGTGAAATTAAAATAGGAAATGGGAATATTAAGCTAAATAAATCAGAGGACATTTATTTTAATAATACAAAAGTCACCATTTGAAGACAAAAAAATTAGGTACTCTGCTAGCCAGTTCAAAAGACATAAGCTATTTTATGCTAAGCTAAATTATAAGATCATGCCTCTTGTTTACTGTTTCTGAATATAACAGAAAGAATTTGAGGAGATAAAATAATAAAAGGTATCCAGTTTTAGAATCTCTGAGTAGTAATTAGTCAGCATATGTGTTACTCTTGATTAATAAATAGAAAAGTTTCTAGCCTAAGGAAAAGGAAGATAAAAGAAAAAGAATCAACCAACATCTGTCTTTTAGTGTACATCCCTCTGGGATAACTACCAGTTAAAACTACTAAAAAAGAATGGCAATAAAGTTTCTGCTGGTTGTGAGTTAGTCAAGCTTGTAACCCCTCTTGCCTTGGAAACCTCATGAAAAATGAACATGGTGAACACAAAACTACTTCTAACAAAGTTGTTTGCCAAATTTCTACCAAGATGCACTATGAAATTCTATAGACAGTATGTTGTGATAAGATTAAATATTACACTTATGGGAAAAATTTAATTCCTGCTAATATTTACTCTGTTGATGCTAGAGTGTTTCTAGAATCTGAATAAAATAACCAGGTGATAAGTGAGATTTCTTGTTACTTTTCTGCTTGTTATTTAACCCTCTCTAATTAGTTGAGTCAAACTAACTGACATTTATAGGGGTTTGGATTATAACATCTAAGCATAAAAATGTGTATATGTGGTTTATATAAGTCTCTGAATTTATCTGTCTAGGAATGGAGGGGAAGGATGCAGACATGGTAATTCATTTTATATTATTCATAATGTATCAGATGTAAAAAGATTATCTACAGTTCAGAAAGAATAAATCCTGTTTACAGGAATGTGTAAGTCAATGGCCACATAAATATAGTATTTTTTCCTTCTGGTAGAAGCATGTGTAAGAAAGTAAGAGAAGGGTAAAGACATTTGCCTATTGGTCAGTTTCTTTTTTTATATTCCGAAAAATCTAAGTCTCAAATCAAAATAATAATGATTAGATACATTTTTACACATGTAACATATGTCAGACACCACGTTTCCAATTCATTTCATCATTTTTTTCTAGTTGTATATATAAGAAAACCGGAGTATAATGAGGTCAAAGGATTAGGTTTAAAAAATCCATATGATAGGAGGAGGAGGCAGGATTTGAACTCAAGCCTATTGGATCTCAAGGTTCAAACTCTGAAATATATTAGGAGCTATCAATTTTTCTAACAGAAAATTAAACAGTCATTTTAATGATGGGGCAGTTTCCTGTGTTTTAGAGATTTGTAAACATTTATTATTTTTTCTTTTCATTAAATTAAGTTAAATAGTGGGAATACCAGTCATTGTAGTTTTGTTTGAATTCTGACTCTACCACTTATTAGTTGAATTGTATTGAGTAAATAATTAACAGTTTCTTTACAAAGAGGTTATGACATTTTATGAAAATTAAAGTGTTCAGTTAAATGAGTAGCAAATATAGTAATGCACCTCATAATGAATTCTTCCATCAACAACAGATCCCATATAGAAAGGTGGTCCTAGAAGATCATAATGGTGCTGAAAATTTCCTATTGCCTAATGACATAATATCATAGCACAATGCATTACTTACATGTTTGTGGTGATGTTGGTGTAAACATACTGCACTGCCAGTCATATAAAGGTATAGCACATACAATTATGTACACTGCATATTTGATAATGATAATAAATGACTATGCTACTCGTTGATGTATTTACTGTACTATAGTTTTTACTATTATTTTGTGTATATTATTACTTTTATTTTTAAAAAATTAACTGTAAAACAGCCTCCAGCAGGGCCTTCAAGAGTGATTCAGAAGAAGGCATTGTTATCATAGGAGATGACAGCTACATGTGTGTTATTGCCCTTGAACAACTTCCAGTGAGACAAGATGTGGAGGTGAAGGACAGTGATATTGATGATCCTGACCCTGTGCGGGATTAGGCTGATGTGTGCATTTGTGTTTTAGTTTTAAACAAAAAGTTTATCGAATAAGGATATAAAAAATATTTTATACAGTCATACAATATGTGTTTTAAATGATTATAAGAGAATCAAAAGTTTAAAAAAACTAAAAAGTTTATAAAGTAAAAGAGTTATAGTATGCTGTTTAAGTTTTTATTGAAAAAAACATTTTCAGATAAATTTAGCATAGTCTAAGTGTATGGTGTTTACAAAGTCTACAGTGGTGTGTAGTAATGTCCTTGACCTTCACATTCAGCCACTGCTCACTCTCTGACTCACCTGAGCAACTTCCAGTTTTTCAAATTCCATTAATGGTAAGTTCCCTATAGAGGAATAGCATTTTTAATCTTTTATACCATATTTTACTGTACCTTTTCCATGTTTAGATATGTTTAGATACACAAATACTTACCATTGGATTATAATTGCCTACAGTAATCAGTATGGTAACACACTGTGCAGGTTTGTACTCTGGAGTAAAAGGTTATTCCAGAAAGTCTAGGTGAGTAGTAGGCTATACCATGTACCATCTAGGCTAGCAGTAGGTCTAGTGAAAGTATACTCTATGATTTTCACTCAAAGATGAAATTGCCTAGTGAGGCATTTTTTAGAATGTATATCCATTAAGTGATACATGACTGTAGTTGCAAAGGAAAATTTGGCCATAATTATTTTTGTTTCCTTATTTAAACTTACTGGAGTTTTAACATTGTTTACAAAGATTGTTGTGGTCCTTTGCAACACAGTAGAAATTAAATAAAAATATGAATGAATGAAAATAGATCTTACATCTTGTTCATCTGAACAAAAAACTTGTAACACTGATTTAAATTTCACCTTAAAATAATTTATAAATTAGGTAGAAACATCTTATTAATTATTAATTATATCTTTATTAGAAAGTACTAATGCATCATTATTACAGTGCTTGAGTTATCTATAATTTTGAAGAACAGACTGTTGAAAAGTTTAGCATTATTTTATAAAATTATCTAGAAATGTGGAATCATTAAACTAATAAATAATCATATGGGATTTATGATTGCAGAGAATTAAGTCTATACTCTGAGCAAAAAGACATATATTAAATATATAAACAGCAGGGCAAAAGATAATGTAGGAAAAGAGGTGTGGACAAAATGGTAGAAATAAGCCTGTGACATCAGGTATTGAAAATATTTTCAAGATTGGTTGGGCCAAGAAAATTAGTCCAACTTCAGATGACAAAATGGAACCAGGTGGTACTCAGCAGTGTCACAAATAAAATAAAAATAAAAAGTGGACTAAAACAAGCTAAGGAAACTAAAATCAGAGGTCAGAAAATTCTGTCTAATATATAAAAAAACTCCAGAAAAAGAATGCTTCTCATAAAATAATTTTTCTTTTAGAATTGTTATAGGAGAAATGGTTATGATATAAGAAAGTAACCATGATGTCTTAAAACCCCTTTCGATGTAGATTATTATTGTTTTTTTTATTTTCAGATATATTTATTTTTGTTCCTAGAATATGTAGATTATTTCTTGATCACTTGTTCTGCCCTTCCTTTCTCTCTTTTTCTTTCTTCCTTTCCTTCTCCTCTTTCCTTCTTTCACCCCCTTCTCTCTTTCTCACTCCTTCTCTTTCTTCTGTCAATAGATATTTATTGAGTCGATTCTCTCAATGTATAACCATGTTCTACTCTTCTTGATTATTGAATATATTCTTTTCCCTATAGCGCATCTAACCTGATATTATTAGCAAATAAATCACATCATGTATAATATTATATAACTTCATTTTTTTCTATATTCTATGTAGAAATGGCTCATGCAAATGTGTCATGCAATATCCTGTTATATAATAAAAAGTAACAACAAAGTTGCCCTCTGCCATTTATTTTCCATGACTAATAATACAAGTTATTTTTGCTCTATTCAGAAGTTTACTTGATACCTTACCTTTTGGTGTTTTCAATTTGGTAGTTATATTTCATTTAGTTTCCAAGATTCAAATTAGACATATATCTGAAAAAAAAGATTAATATAGTTTCTTCATGCAGTTTTAATACTGCTGTTAGCTCAGATTTTAATACTAAAATTCAGGTTACATATGTGAATAAATAGGTAGAACCCAATGACAACATTTAACTTATCCCCAAGTGAGCATGATTTATGACTAGAAAAAAATCATATTTTTCCAAACTATTTTTTTCCTCTAAGAGTTAGATAATCTGGACCTAGGCTACTGGACAGAAAACATTACTCACTTCATAAGCATAAAAACTGTGAAATTGAATAATAAGATTTACAACCAATAAAAAAAAATCTGATCTCGCTCTTCTCTTGAACAAAAGAAGGTGTCCTAAAATCATAGTTGCTGAGAGTAAGATTTAAAAAAATGGAATATATCCCAAAAAATGCAAACTCAGCAAAAGCAAAGCATTTTATAATTTATTTATTTATTTATTTATTTATTTATTGAGATGGAGTCTCCCTCTGTCACCCAGGCTGGAGTGCAATGGCACGATCTCGGCTCACTGTAACCGCCACCTCTCGGGTTCAAGCGATTTTCCTGCCTCAGCCTCCCGAGTAGCTGGGATTACAGGCGTCCGCCACGAAGCAGGGCTAATTTTTGTATTTTTAGTAGAGACGCGGTTTCGCCATGTTGGCAAAGCTGGACTAGAACTCCTGACCTCAGGTGATCCACCCGCCTCGGCCTCCTCAAGTGCTGGGATTACAGGCGTGAGCCAAGGCGTCTGGCTGCAAAGCATTTTTAAAACTATAAAACATACTACCTCATACTAGGTATCCTTTTAACTTTCTTTCCTCTTTTACATGAAAAAATCGGGCAACCCAAGAAAAACTATAAACGCTCAGAAACTTCACTCTTATTATAAGTATAAGGGCTCATGAACTCTATGCAAACATTTTATGAACAATTTTAAACATACAAGGGGAAATAGTAGTTATATAGTTTGTTGATACTTACGTCTTCCAAATTCAAGCTGAGCAAACTGCCAACAAGACACAGGTGCATAAAAGATGAGCAGGTGAAAGAAATAAAATGTTGTTAGGGAGAAAATGTTATCTTTGTCCATTACGCATTTATCTTAGGACACATTAGCACATCTGCTATATATTACTAGAGATACAGGTTTATGTAAATAAGTTTTATTAAGTTATAATTCCAAGTTTACTTTTCTATTTTCCCAGATCTATGGATTTGGCCCTGGTGTTACAAGGTCTGGGTTATGGCTTAATAAATACATTCCAATTAACTTCATTTAAATTTTACTAGGGATCAGATTCAACTATGACATTAAAGATTTTTGGCCAGGCGCGGTGCCTCATGCCTGTAATCCCAGCACTTTGGGCGGCCGAGGAGGGCGGATCACGAGGTCAGGAGATCGAGACTATCCTGGCTAACACGGTGAAACCCTGTCTCTACTAAAAATACAAAAAATTAGCCGGGCGTGGTGGCGGGCGCCTGTAGTCCCAGCTACTTAGGAGGCTGAGGCAGGAGAATGGCGTGAAGCCGGGAGGCGGAGCTTGCAGTGAGCCGAGATCGCGCCACTTCACTCCAGCCTGGGCGACAGAGCGAGACTCCGTGGGAAAAAAAAAAAAAGATTTTTAACGTGGATATTTAGAATAGCACCCAATGTTAATTGTGTGGCTTAGATATAACGTTGTTGGGTTGCTATTGTAAATTTGGCATGAGTTTCCCCACTGGTCACCATGACTGACAGCTCTTCTAACTGATTCTTACAAACCAAAAGAAGGGATGTTATATGGACAAAGTGGACAAGTGGCAATTGAGTGCACAGAAAACGTTGAAAGCAATTAGCAATGAGGTCTAAATTTTAAAAGGCAAAACATAATTGTACTTATTTTTTAAAACAATTATTTAAGTCTTTACCCTCACATACCCAACAACTTTATTTTGAAAATGTATATTATATATGTAGCAGAATTGAAAGGTACTTGACTTAGGATCTAGAGGTAAAGACATGCATTAGAATCTGTCATCTCTGGGCTGCTTGAGCTTGAGGAAATCATTTAATTTCTCTATTTTGAGTTTTGAATTAGTTGCTTTCTAAAGACCACTCAAGCTATCAATTAAATAAAATAAATATACACACACAATTTTATATGTATGGTTTACATACGGTTTTAAGTAAAATTGTCTTTCTTCTTACTCTACGAAGGTGTTTACTGTAGAAAATTTGGTTATAACAGACATAAGCAAAATAAGTTTTAAGCACAATTGCATCATTTTAAATAATGATTGCATATTTATATCATATTTCTGCACCACACACATACATATGTGTTTTAAAAACATGATCATACTCTACTATTTTGACTTGCCTGTTTGAATTTTTAAATCATTTAAAACTTTCTATAATTTTGTAGAATATAATTTTTATAATGTCAGCTTATTCTTCCATGTAGATTTAACCAGTACTGACACCATATTAATTTAACCTGTTAATTATCTATTGATTATCATGAGGCAGATAGGTGGAAATAGTTTGCCCATCACACTTCTCAGTCTGCAATGTAACTCTTATCTCCAACCACAAGATTCCAGATGTTCTTGAGTTTAGCTACACTCTAAGACCCTTTCAGGAAAACAAAATAGAGGCTTAGCATTTATGTATTTTTCATTACCTTTCACTTAATACAAGAAGAGTGTGATCTCTCCTACTCCAGTAACTGAATAAGTTACTCTAACCATTGCTATATACCCATGGTTCTATTCTCCCAGTTATTAAATGCACATTTGAAGAGAGCAATTTTGTTCCATAGATTTGATATTCCAAGAACAATGCAGATTGTAATAATAATCATCATCTCAATAATTCATAAAATCAAAGTCCATGAATTTAACAAATAGAGTAAATTAGATCTTTTGGAAAATCTACCTATCCTGGGGATGGGGGGAAATTCAGGAGCCACCCCCATGTCCATATTATTGGACTTTGTATACATAGTCATGCTTGAATTAATACATTTGGGAAGACATATGGCCCAAGATAAATTAATCAAATGTTTTCCCAAGCAACTTGGTATTTAGAATACAGTGAAATTGAGTTACATCAAATGCAGTGCTTTGGAGCCTCCGACTTTTAAATTTTTTACTGAGACCACAGTAAGAAATATGTAACACAACAGACTTAGTATACAGAAATACATTCAGAAAAAAATTAATGTTTTACAAGTCAATAATTACCCTGGGAATTATAGCTTTGTAGTTTCTATTGCATACTATTATTTTAGGTGTTGCTCATAGTCCACTAAAGAGAATTCAGGAACCAATAATGGGACATGACCAACAATATTACTTTGGTAAAATCTTCATGAATTGTTGCCAGAACCCTGTTTATTTCTGGCTTCTTTGCTTCTCAAATCTCTCTTATTCAACTCTTCCTTTAATCTGTAAAATATTCTAGTGTATTTCCAATAAATGTCACCTTTAATTTATGACAATCATGTTCTGTTTAATTTATGACAGTCATGTTCTGCTTTTCCTGCTCACAAATTAGGTAATCTTAACTAATCTCAATTATTCTAAGACTCTGCTTAATTTTCCTAAAGTTCCTCTTTCTTTGGAATCTACCTAATGTATCTATAAGTCTGGAAATTCGGCTAATGTAAAGGGGGATAATAATATTTCCTCATTCTGAAGACTGACAGTTGCTGTATCACATTAGAAGTTATTAGGGGCACAGGAATGCTTGTATCCTTAGTTTCCACTTTGTTGCAGAGTTTCAGACTGAAAAAAGACACAGTTAGAAATTTATATATTTCATTCTATTAACAACTAGGTTTAAGATGTTAAGCTGACTCTGTACTCTGAGATATGGAAGTTTAAGGGTTAAACTTCATAGGGGAGCAAAATCTCTTTGGACCCAAGTGCTCTTGTTCATGCCAATATTATTTTATAAATTTGTTCATTTATTTTACAAATATGCATTAAATGTTCATGATTAGAAATCTGAAAATGTTATAAATATGGCATAAGACAACTTATGTAAATGTATACTAAAAATTAATTTTACCATTTGTATAGAAGTACATATGGACTGACTGAGGATGTACATACAAAAAGAATATTAGGGATTGAGGGAAGAAGTTGAGGAGATGGGAATTTAGGGCTTACTTTTCTGTTATACAATTATTGTTTTCTAAAACTGAAGGAAAAATAAACTTGTTTTAAATAACAATTCTGATTTATCTAATTGATCTTCTCTCCTAAAGGTTCAATCTGTCCCTTCAGATTTGGTCTTCAATTTAAGATGGATCAGTGAGAGTTAGTATCATGTTCTAAGATCATTCACATTAAGCAATTTTTCTTTAGCAACTTGTAGAATTCTTATCAAAAATCAATAGAGATTAGACTGGTCGTGATGTAACACCTGTAACCCCAGCACTTTGGGAAACCAAGGCAGGCAGATCACCTGAGGTCAGGAGTTCAAGACCAGCCTGGCCAACATGGTGAAACCCCATCTCTACTAAAAATACAAAAATTAGCCAGATGTGGTGGCGGGCATCTGTAATCCCAGCTACTCGAGAGGCTGAGACAGGGAGAATTGTTTGAACCTGAGAGGCAGAGGTTGTAGTGAGCAGAGATTATGCCACTGTACTCCAGCGTGGGAGACAGAAGGGGACTCAGTCTCAATAGTAACAATAATAATAATTAATAGAGCTTAGACTGTATCAACATGAAGTCAGACAGATCATGTGAGACCCCAAATCCTTATTGAATTTTCTCAATATTCCATCTTGTGCTCCATATGCAAAAGTTGTTGTCAGGGAAATAAAAACTTCTCTGTTTTGCTCAAGGGATAGAATCATAATTTCTGAGGCAATAAAATAGTTCATTAAAATAAGAATATTGTTTTTATGCAGGATAGTCACATGAAGTTGTATTCTACTAGCAATGGATATACACAACTGAATAAGGATAGTATCGAATTAAACTCATTTTGGGGCCATCTTAAGTACAATTTCTCATTTTGTGAGAAGTCATCCTCTAGATCGTCAAAAGCAAAACAGACTATAGACTAGAGTGCTACATATAGGTCAATCTGAAAAGGTGGAAGAGAAGTGAAAAGCAATTCTTGTGCTCTAGTCAGTAGTGTGTTTATCTTTGACAGCCATTACGTGTCAAAAATTACTGACCCTTACTTAATGATATCTCTATTGTTTTGGGAAGCCTAAGCAGTGGTAATAAATAGGCCCAATAGGTATCATGAATCCTACATCATCGATGATCATTCTTGCTTGCTTCACCACACAGGCACGTGTTCCCAATTTGCAGCAATTCTTTGCAGCTATTCCGGTGTCCATGCTTCTTGCTTTTTGTAACCCTACTATTTCTATAATCCCTATAATCTGCACTCATTCATAGGGGAGGAAAGAAGACACAGACGGGGCAAGGCCACTTTTTGAACGCCTCAGCCTAGAAATGCGCTATGCCACTCATTCTCACATTCTTTCTTCTAGAAATGGCCACACCTAACAGCAAGGGAGGAAGGAACACATAGTCTGGTATGTCCAGGATGAAGAGAACATAAATTTAAATAAACAGTTTGCAGTCTCCATCACATTATTCGGAGATTAAAAATATTTTTCTCAAGTAAAGATCTTTCTTAGAGATTAGCTTTGAAAATAAAGATGGTACAATATCCTAAATTTATTTGCTGCAAGATAATTTTACAATGTGGCCACATCTGATCAGGCTTAATAACCAAGAATTAAACATATGATTGTGAAACCTTTATCTAGGGCTTCCAATTTCATTTAGTGGGAATTGATAAGTCTTTACTACTCTTATTTGTTCAAAGAAGAAACCATTATATTATTAGTGTTCAATGTAACATATACCTATTCTTGGCTAAGGTAAAGAAAATACAAGTTATGTTTGCTATTAAGAAGACTAGAATGTATTGACTTATTACTGTTTAATATTACTGTTTAATTAAATGGTAAAATATTGCCACAATAAAGAGAAAAATTTGCCATATATCTATAATGCAAGAAGTATATATATATATATATATGTATATATACACATATATATATACATACATATATAGAGAGAGAGAAGGAGAGAGAGAGAGAGAGACCAATAGAGATGTTCAGAGGTGAAAATAATTTTGCATTTCATTTTTCAATATTTGAAATCTCTTTCCACTTCTTTTATAATGTGCTTCATATACCAAAATATATTTTGTAATTTATGAGTGGAACTTCCCTCGTCTAAATATCAGCTTAAGAACATTTTTTTCTCTAAAAAATATGTGATTGAAAAAAGAGAACTGCAAAGGATATTTCAAATAAAATGTTTAATTAAAAAAACCACAACAGATATTATGGACATTTAAAGTTTGAGGCTTCATGCTGTATTCCATTTGGTTCAGAGTATAGTTTTCATGATTTATTGACAGCTGCTTTAGATGGTTCTTTATTTTCAACTCATCCCAACCCTGGTCAAACAATACAGCCCTCCTGCTTTTTTCAATATTTTCCTAATATCTCAGCTCATTTAATTCTATTGATCCACTGAAGAGTATAATGGCACTGAAACTGGGATTAATAGCACCTCCCTTTTCCAGTGCTAAGAGCTTTCCTATTGAGTCTGTGGACCATCACATGAAATCACAAATGTAGACAAAAAAGTAGAGTGACCTTTACCGGCCACTATTGTACTGAAAAATTCAGTAAACCTTAGAACATCATTTTCAATTTTATGGCACTGTTTTCTTAAATAATAAGAGAAAAGGGGAAAAAGGAAAAACTGACCCCTGTTCAGCATTTACTTAAGCAGAATTGGCATTAATAGAGTATTCTGTCAAAAATTCAAGCTCAAGAAAATGTATGGCTTTGTCCACAGCAGCAGCTATCTTAGCAGATTGCACTGTCACTGCTTCACACAAAGCGCATTGCAACACCATTAGTGGACATAAATAATGCACAAGCTCTTATGCAGTACTCAGCTAAGTGCATGGAAACCTTGGGCTCCTGTTGTCAGAAATTCAATGGATTAGTACCTAGATTTATTTTAAGTCTGTAAAGCACTTTGTTCTTGACAGCGTTCAAAGTAGAAAGAGTGCTATCCTGAATGCGCATCTTAATACTGTCATTCCTGTCTTGTAAAGAGTAGATGATATATGGGCTGCAATATTTCGTTTTAATATTTAAAATTTTCACTGTGCGGATGCAAAGAAATATATTAATAGTTATCTGCTGTAACCTTATTGATCTGGAAAAGAACAAAGATAACCTGTAAAGTTTCACAGTGAAGCTAGTAAAATGGAGGCATTATAATTACGTTTTAGTAAAACAGATACACAAACTCTAATCTTTATACATCATCTTTGGAAAATATGGAAATTTGGACATCGCCTTTCTTTGTAAGTTAATACTGCGCATATGAAATCATATTTGATGGGAATTTTTAGCACATTTTAATCTAATTAGCAGTATTTACAATTCTGTAATTCCTTCAACTACATAAGAGTATTGTTTCTTTTTTGAAGGCTAAGTGATTTTACAGTTAACATTTTGCTGAGCAAGAACTATTCTAAAATGTTACTCCAAATTGCTTCCCTATAACTTCAGAGATTGGGGGCAGTTTCAGCCTGTAGATATGTTCAGGATTTAAGCCTGATAATCTTCCATGCATTGAAAGGATAAAAGACACTCTTGTGTAAGTTAAAAACAGTTTTCTATTGATATTGGAGATGTAGTAGAAGAATAGAGATATCTCATGTGAAGGTCAATCTTTCTCAATTCTATGAAGACATAAAATCTTATTTTAAAATAATAACAGTTACCTTTTCACTCAGCCTACATGGTCCATGAATTTCAACACAATTTGTTGAAATGTCACTCAATGAATTAACTATTCATTATCAAGCTCTAAGATTCTAAAGTGAAATATGTAACTAATGACTATTTATAATTACATATATTAAGACCATTTATTAGGCTACATGCATGATGTCATGTCAAATGGTTCATATTTGACCACATCTGACTCTTAAACTAAAATTTGTTTTTTAACACAAGTTTCTCAGGATTGTGAAGACTAATTTCATTCTAATTACAACTTTCATTATTGAGTTAAAAATATGCCTATGTTTCATAATTTCAGTAGAAAATTCATCAAACACACTGCTGAGAGGGTTGTGATTTGTTGCTTACAAAGATAACATAATAAGAAGGCCAGTAAATACTGTGTTTCAAGACGTATTTAATATACCCTTAAATGAAAGATCATATTCTGGAGAATGACTATGACTTAAGTAATTTTATATTAAGGAGTTAAGTTTTCAACTTAGTAAATTTTTTTGCTCCAAAGCAAAGCTCCAAAATTCTTTTGCTTTACACAGCTACTTCAAAAACCAGTACATAATTTGCATATTCGGATCAATAGGTGGCGCTTTTCCCCTTTCTGACAGTCTCGTTTTCAGAATCCTGTTAGAGTCAAACTTATTGTTACAAATCTTCAATATTACCGATAGAATGCCGAATATTCTAACTAGTAAAAGTTGATTTTTAACTTTTGCAAGCTTATAAGGTTTTAAATTATTGTCAGCTTTTAAAAACTATCCTTTGATACATCATCAAATTTCGTTACCAGTGATCATACTCAAAGAGAACTCTCAGTTATTTGTCCTGTAGCGATATTCAGAAATTATCACTCAGTTTCTTTAATCCTTAAATTATTCCCCACTTATCCTGGTAGAAAACTTCTGGAAAGTAGCATTTTGGAATACCTGATATAGGGTCCCTTCAAATACTGCTATCATGATAAACGTACTTTAAGATTTACAGGAAATTTATCAAAAATGAAACATAAATTTATATTATTGCAAAATGCTTTTAGAATACATATTTTAAAATAGTAAATGTAAGTAGAATATTTCATCAAAAGAAAACAGAATTTTGTATCTGGATTGCTTTTATGAGGATTTATTTATTTACACTGAGTCCTTTTAATTTAACTAAATCTGAGGATTACAAGCAATCAAAGATCTTTGTAAATGGTAGTTGATAATGTTGTAATTTGAAATATAGATGTATTTATAAAAATATTTTATTTAGAATAAATTTATCTAAATTTACACTAAAAAGACATGTCCATAAAATGTTTTCTTCTCACAAAAAGCAGGTAGTCACATTAAACATAGACTGTTTTTTAAGATAATGTACTATAGAAACATAGTCTTTGTTTTTGATTATTTAAAAGATGATTACAGCATGAATAGTGGTTTAAAATATAAGCAACATGATCACTTTCTAATTAAAATGACAGTTTGTATTTTAAAAATATATCTTTATTAAACACAAACATTTGACTACAATAAAGGCATTATTTTAAAGTATAACAAAATTAGGATGGCTATAGATCTTCACATTTTATATCTATTTTTATGTGTCTCATCTTGTTTCCCCCAGTTTCTTCACTACCTTTTCTTCCTCAGTTTGTTTAGGTATACACACACACACACCCACACACACACACATGCATATATATGCAAGCTGTTTGGGGAAAGGAATATATACATACATATTCTGATATGTATATATATATCAGAAACTCTTATGTTAGAAAATATTTTGTCAAGTGTATAACAAGTCAGAAAACTACAAAAAAGTTACACAAATTCTTTATTTGAAATAGGACGACATTTCTTACATCATAAAGCCAAATAAATACATTATATGAATTGTATGACACAATTGAAAGAGCTACATTTTTCAGAACATACAATGTTATTGCATTCTTCCAACCATAGCAAGAAAAATCAAATTTTACAACAAAAATGAGACTTATACAAGATTAGCTTAAATTTCCTCCTCCGAAGAAACATTATCATGTAAGTGACTGAACATTGTTGTGTATTTTGGTATCTTCTCAGTGGTATTGATTCCCTCCTAAGCATGACCGTTCCTGGAAACCTATGAGCAACTGTGAGTGAGGATCCAACCACTTCCCCTATCACTCACAATAATAGTGTTTGTTTGGTTACTCTAGAATTCCCTCACCTCTCTATGCTTCATCCCTTCTACTCCAAGGTAGACTTAAATAATATGAAGAAAGTTTATGTTTGCTTTCTTCTAGAAATTAAAGATTTTTTCCAGAAGAAATTATATTATGGAATTAATGATGCAAGAAGTTGCGTTGATATGAGGTACTACCTTTTAGGCATTTTAATTAAGCTTTCTATACTTTGAAGCTGTTTGGGGAGAGGAACATACTGCATTATTTTTTAATGCAAACCTTTGGGAGGTTCATGATACAGAGGCTAGACTTTAAAGAGCATTGCTCTTTATGTAATTCTGGGTTGTGCTTATATAGAGCTTGACATTATTAGACGACACTAAAAGATAAAATACAAATTCTATACCCTCCAAATTTAAAAGGATCACTGTAACTCTGATAAATGTCAAGTATCAATAGTAGTACGCTTAAACAGTCCTGAAGAGACAAAAACTGATATGATAGGCACAGCCCTGCATTATTGAGACAGCAATGATAAAGAACAACACTTAAGAGATTTTACTAACAGTTTAAGAGTTCTGGCACGGTATAGCCTGTGTATAATGAGGCTTCTAAACGTTCAGCTCACAGAACTAGCGTTTGTGGAGATAAAATACTTTACAAACTCTGTTTCATTAATCTTTACAATATCTCTGTGAAGAATTATGAACACCAATCAACAGATTACAGAGTGACAGCAGTAAAATATTGGATGAATTGCCAATCCTCTCAAAGAGAGCCCTGAAGATTCTCCTTACAATGAAGTTATTTGTTTTCCTTTTTAAAATACCAGTCCTCTAAGACCAAGTTAATATGTTAAACCCTACAAAGAACCAATATGTTTTGCTTTGTTGGGAAGAAAAAAAAAGTGACTTCTCGATAGAGAAGGCCTGAAATCACAACATTTTGAATTCAATAATAGGTTAAACCAATATTTCAATGCCAAATTACATGAATATACAAAAGCAAATCTTCTGAAAAATGTACTGTGTATTATGTGACTCTTTTCAAGGCCTAGTCTAGTGTCCATATTAATGCCAGATAAGAATTTCAATCTTGCAGTAAATTAGTCTAATCATATTATTAAATAACCCATTCAAGTGATTTTAACAGCACATTGTTTGCATTGTATTATTAACAGCCCTTCAAAGGGCAGACAACATCATCACCATCAATAAATAGCTATTGACCACTTACTGTGTATAGCTTGAATTTTTGAAAGATCATATTGTTTCCAATTTGTTAAGCTAATCTTTTATAGAATTTTTTCATGTTAACAAATGAAATTCATTTCATATCCATATGGCAAAAATTAGTCCAGGGCTTCTAAAAAATTTAGAAACCATTTTAACAATTGGATTTTATAATGTATTCAATGGTTTATGAAAACAATGAATATAGAAAGGAAATTATAGAAGCATTCAAGAGCTATGTAATAGCACCAATATCTGCTAAGTTGTAAAAGAGATATAAATTCTCCCATTTCTCCCCACCAATGTCCATACAATTAAAAGCATAAGTTATTCTGCTGTATGTATTGGTTCTGCCAATTCTGTCCATTTACCACTGCTGCATCCCCCGGCCCCTGTAAACAGCATCATTGTGTACAGTTTTACAGGTTTTAATTGTACAACTCTTTAGGAGACCATACACTTTGCAGTCTAGGAGAATGGCACCACCTAGAGGTGTGCAGTACACAAGCTGCACAATCAGACATACACACCAAGTCACCATCACCTCTCATCTGAACTACTCCAATAGTTTCTTATTTTACCTGCTTCCTCTGATCATTGTCTACTGATCCTTTAAAAATGTACAACGCACCATGATATTTTTCTATGTATAACCCTTCCATAGCTTTCCATTGCATTTCAAATACAATTAAAGTATCTTATCTTTTCAATAACTGTTTTTCTACTTAAAGTTCACTTTTTATGGTTAACCCTTTCATCCAAAATAACTCAAATGACACCTCATCAAAGAAGCCTTCTCCAACCACCCATTTTAAATGAGCAACTTTATTTCCTTCTATCCCTTTGTTCCATGTCTTGACAACTGATTAATTTTCTTTATGGCACTTCTTAAAATTGACAGCAAGTCTTATATTTGTTTACTTTTTTGTTATGAGTGAATGAATACAAAATTTAAACTTATGAATATTATTTTTTGTGCTTTACCAACATATATCATAATTTTATTTGGTTGATTGATAAGCTTTGTTTCCACTGAAGAAGATACTACATAATTGAATTATTATCATTATAAGGACTGGATGAATAAGAAAGAAAAAAAGAATGACCAGATGAAAACATGTAGTAATGTAATTGCCCTTTCAATATACCATGAAGCATTCATTGATTTTCTCAGGGCTTCAGTTTTCTTATCTGCAAAATGAGGAAGTTAGAGTACATATTCACTTTTTCCACTTCTGAAACTCAACGATTCTATGATCTCAGGCAAATATTTTCACTTTTTGTAACCCAGTTTCCTCACAGATCTAATATAGATAACTGTTCTGCCACTCACATACCAATGGCAAAGAGAGAAACTGATAAATGTAAAATGATTGGCATACACTAAATTGTCATAGAAGCATACTGGGCTACTAATGTTATTCTTCTGGATATGTACAAATCAAGCCACAGTGAAAGTCATTCCATTAATGTTAGTGAAACTTTCATTTGATTAGTCTATCAAAGTGTAGAGAATGTTTTCCTATTTACTATTTTTTATATAGCTTCCCACATTCTATGTACCACACAGTAAGTGTTATTATCCCCATGTGACAATTATAAAAACTGAGGTTCAGAGATGTTAATTTCCTTCCTGAAGTCACCTACATCGTAAGATTTTGGGTGGCAACTTTAACTCAAGAAGATTTTGAGCCCATATCTACAAATCTTCCTATTATATTAATGTTAAACTTCTAAGCAGCAAAACAATTGATTCTTTCACATGGCCATATTAAAAATACAGAAAAAGTATGGCCTTTTATCCTCAACCTACACGGAATGCATCAGTCCTTTATTATAAAGAACGCAGTGATACTATGGTCTTACAAAATAAAGGTAACCATGTAATAAATCTTGAATACATGACTGAATATGGACCACAACGAGAGAGATGAATCTTTAAGGTAACTTATTTTTGAAAAACTATCAATTGCTGAAGTAGTCTTCATTTTAATAAAGTTACAGAATTATACTTAACATAAAAAATGCACATAGCATATTCTGCCAATTACTTAATCTCATTTTAAAAAATAGTTCTGTGTATTTGACACCTGTCAAAAACTTAGTTGACAGACTTCTTTATTCAATATATTACATCTTCTAGGAATCTAATCAATGTGTCCAATTTACTATTCATAATTTGCATTGCATACTTATGGCTTTATTCCATATTTATCTTCCATTTTCTCATCACCAACTTTCAGTGTTCAATAGAAGTATAAATGGGAATCATGTTATTACTCCAACTATACATTTGTGTATACAACAATGAATTTATTAATTCACACTAAATTGGAAATAAAAAACTAAGAAAATTGTGTTAAATTTGAAACAATCAAATTGAAAAGAAAGATGTATGTAGTTTTACTGTAAATATTGTGCTAATAATTGTGCAAATTTGCCACAAAATCTGCCCTAAATAAGAAAAAGAGCCTTTATAATAATAAGAGCTGACAAATACGGTTTCTTATCAGAGGCAGCTACATAAACTGTGGGCTCCTATGCAAAATGAATATGCCTAGCTTCTTATTCAAAAAGCAGCAAGGAAGTATTATTAAAGGTATGTATTAAACTTATTTTCTGGGGACAGGCACGGTGGCTCACGCCTGTAATCCCAGCATTTTAGGAGGCTGAGGCAGGCAGATCACCTGAGGTCGGGAGTTAGAGACCAGCCTGACTAAAATGGAGAAACCCCATCTCTACTAAAAATACAAAATTAGCTGGGCATGGTGGTGCATGCTTGTAATCCCAGCTACTCTGGAGGCTGAGGCAGGAGAATTGTTTGAACCTACGAGGCGGAGGTTGCGGTGAGCCGAGATCATGCCATTGCACTCCAGCCTGGGCAACAAGAGCAAAACTTCGTCTCAACATAAATAAATAAATCTTGTTTCCTCGCTGGGCGCTGTGGCTCATGCCTGTAATCCCAGCACTTTGAGAAGCCAAGGCAGATGGATCACTGGAGGTCAGGAGTTTGAGACCAGCCTGGCCAACATGGTGAAACCCTATCTCTACCAAAAATAGAAAAACGTAGCCAGGCGTGGTAGCAGACTCTTGTAATCCCAGCTACTCGGGAGGTTGAGGCAGGAGAATCACTTGAACTAGGAAGGAGGAGGTTGCAGTGAGCCGAGATGGCGACACTGCACTTCAGCCTGGGCAACAGGAAGGAAACTTCATCTTTAAAACAAACAAACAAACAAACAAACAAGCTTGTTTCCTTTCTTTTTCTCTCTCCCCTTTCCTCTTTCCTCCCTCTCTCAAATTGTCATGGTGTTTTATTATTATTATTATTATTATTTACTATTTAATTGTTCTAAGGAAAAAAGCAATTAAAAATTTAAATTATTAACATGGATTTTACCTTTCATCTTTATATTGTTCAATGAGAGTTTAAAATGAAAATATCAGAGTATTTGTATGCTGAATTATTGAAATGACACAATTCTTTTTCTTAGTCCATGGCTGGAGGTTGTTGCCTCATACTGAGCAACAGAGACAAACACAAGCCAGATTCAAGAGGGTTTAGAAGAGAAAGAGAGGCTCTTCCCAGATAAAGAACCAGAAAGTACTCCTGGCATGGATATATTCCCTAGGTGGTTGCAGATCTGCATAGGCCCATGGGCCCATGCCATAAAACATCCAGCCTTAAATATCCTCCAACCAGTCGCTGGTCTCATCAGCTGTACCTAGGCTCAGAAATAAATCTGAGGGTGTAGAACCAGCCCTTTTCTCTTCCCACAGGTCTGCCGCCTCAACCTAGGGCAGATAGGCAAGCCTAAAGCATCTTTCAAATTCTGAGCTGCAAGTGATCCATTGAATTGGTCGGGCTAGGAGAGAGGCCAGTCCTTGCCCTGACGTGGCTTCCAGGCAGACGACCAGATACACCGTGGTGCTGCCAGCCTGGAGGGGTGGCCACGGCCCTTCCCCAGGCATCCTGATGCAGCCTGGCTCACGTGCCTGACGTGGACCCTCACTATGCCCACCCTCAGACAACTTGAAGGAAAAGGGGACCCCTAGTAGTTCTGGGGTGGGGACAGGGAGAGGGAGGAGGCTAGTCAGGGTTTTCATTCTAGGCGTGGAAGAAGCAAGAGACCAAGGACCCATCTCTGGAAATGGGAAAGAGGCCGATTGTACCTCAGTAGAGGCTCTAGTGCCCATCCTTGTTGCTCTTTCATCCTGCTTCATGTACAAAGCACAAATTCAAAGAGAAAAATATTAAGCATTTCAAGACATGACTAGAGAGCATAAAACTCCAAGCGTGAATCTCTTTTTAGTGATTGTACTGTTGTTTAATGCCTATGAAGTAGTCTTGGTTCTTAGTATCTGGAGTCACTGTTCTAGGTAGGTAGATACTATTATCCCCATAGAACCAAGAAACCATAACACAGAGAGGCTTAGTAACTGACTCAATGTCCCACCACTAGTAGCCAGTGATCTTAGAAGATTATTTTCATCTTAAGTATGAACAATAACTATGCACTTGAATTATTACATTATTTAGCCTAAATATATTTAACAAATCTTTTTCAATCTGTAGTATATTACTTGTGCACACACATAGTAATATATGTAAATATATATACACACAGTCAAACTGTTTTCTCCTTGAGTATAAATTTATATACAAATATGGACATATATAGCCTACAAGTACAGGAATACGTGTATGCTTATATAAACACTTGTTAAACACACACACACACACACACACACACACACACAGAGATATGAATTTGTTGGCTAATTTTGAAGTCAATGTAAATTTTATTCTTGTCTATTTTATTTTTAATAAGTTAACTGGAAACATTATTTAGAAGTTTCAGAAAAGAATATTTTATTTCAAAGAAGCCGTTTTATTTTAATATTTTATCAATACTCATACTTTTCTATTGCAACTATATAATATAATAATTAAATTTAAAGTTTTACATGTTTAAATATGTAAGCTTCTGTTATTTTTCTCCGTGATAATTTAATATTACATAATTTTCACACTGCTATTTTTCAGGAGCTGGTAAAGTTGGACATACATATGTTGTTAAAATATATCTAATCTCACCAAAGTTATAGAATGCATTTATTCATTTTATAAAGTTAAAAATTCTTAACAGATCTGCATGATAGGGAAGTCATATAAAATATTATTTTAGTTATGATTCATACTTGGAACATAATTCAATGATACATATTTTAATAGCTTTTTTACCAGGATAAAAATCAAGGCTTCAAAGAAAAAGATCCAATGATTTAAGATTTAAGAACTGCAATTTATATTATTATACCTAAAAGGTACACTTGGAAACCTATGAAACTGTAGAAAATCCACACTTGGATGTGGAATGAATTAAAGTAGTGTCTCCAGTGTGAGAACTGATTTTCATAATAGCTGGAGGCACAAAAACCATATTTAATATTTCTGTAAAAAACAACTCCACCACCAACATGTAGTTTTTGCTTTTCTGCAACATTGCCGTCATCTACTAAACATGTCCTGCCATAGATTTGTTGTTGCAGTTCCCAGTTAAGTATACGCTTTATTTTTGTAAATGAATTGTTTTGGGGGAATTCCTAATGGAATTCAGACTTGTACTGAATAACGTATCTGAGAATCTGTGCTATTTCTACATTACAATACATACTGTCATGTCTAATTGCTTAATTATATTCTGACAGAACAGAACGCAGAGAGGGACAAGACCTGTTCAGCACAACCCTGCTAATGTCAGGAATCTCGTTTAGAAGTTAACATAATCCTTCAATTCTTCAAGAGTGAAGAGTGTTCTGCTGATAAAGACTAAAGAAAATTTAATACAATTTGCATGTGGATATGTGTTGCTGATACAGGACATTTGCCAAAAAAAAAAAAAATGATTAAAATGTGAGAAGTCCCATTTTTCAAAGAGAAAGAAAATGCATGAGTTTCAGCCTAAACAAAGTAATTCTGTCATTCTACTATATGTGTTTCAATTATAAAAATGCAGACAAATTTTATCATGTTTAAAAACTGGTGTCAGGTGTCTTGAGGAAATGATACAAATAGAATTTAAATTTAATAAAAGATAATACTAAAACAAACAGCTAATTTGGGAGGAATAAATCAACAAATCACTAGGAAACTATTACATTTTAAAATAATTTGAGGTTCTGTTCATTTTTCTCTTCAATGTTAAAATGATGCATATATTTGAAACATCTTTGTGGTTTTTTCTCCCCCCGATTAAACTTTGAAAATCTCTATCAGTCAAGAAATTCATCTCTTGCTTGTTGCTATATTCACCTGTTTTGATGGATAATACCCTATGTCATTTGCTACCAAGCCTTTGCAACTTTAGTTCTCCTTCTAATTCTTCAAAGTTTTCTTTAATACTCGTGTCAAGAATATCTTCAACGTAGGAATGTAGTTACAATCTTTGGCAAATACTTTGTCGGAAATAATTTGCCTGATTTTCTGCGAGAAAAAGTGGTAGTGAGGACAAATGCTTAGTCTCCAGATTGAAAAAAAAATGTCCATGCTTACTAGGGATGAGTTTGTGCATATGTGGCCATCTTCTTTTATTTTTCTGAAGCTATCCTTACATATAAAAGAGGAAAAGCTACTTTTAGGATTACCAAGAGATGAACTAGCACTTTACTAATGATATTTATTCTCCCTACACCACAATGTGATGTACATATCATTATTATCCCCATTGTACACGTGCAAACACAGCTTTAAAAAGCTTAAGCTAATTGTCCAAGGATGCATAGCTACTAAGTGAAGAAGCAAGAGCTAAAATCAAAATGTGTCTGATTTCCAAATGCCTGATTTCAAAATTCACTTTTAAACCGTTTAGTGCTTTATCATTTCTCTTTATTTTCTACCATTCTGCTTCTCTTCTAGACAGATTTATAACAGCCATTTTAGGTAGATACCATTTAAGGTAGATACTCATTTCTTCTCGGGTGATTTTTCTTCCCTACATTTTTTTTTAACCTGGATTTCTCACCCTCCGTTATTCCAAATGATAAATATTTCTTTAACTCCATAGACATTTCTCTTCATAAATAAAGGTATTACCTTTATCCTGTTCTTGTCATTGCCATATAGTGTCACATGTAAAGAACACATGTATAAGAACACACACACAATCACACATAAGAATGCCTATATAAAATATACATGTACTTATGTTTTATTTATTTACTTTTTTTGTATATTTTATACTTATGTACGTAGGTATACGTATGCTTACTTATACATGCATACACAGTAGAAAGCCCTTAAAACAAAAGTTTTTAAGTGTTTCTTCTTACATTTTGAATCATTGCTGATTACCAATGTGACCTGTATCCCTGAGAATATTTCGACTTTTGTCTGTTTTTAATCTGTGTAGTCTCTGTTTCAGAATTAGTAGTGAAAACTATTGAATATTTGCTATTATTTCTACAGTGGTAAATAATTAAATAAAATATTAATGGCCTTTAACAGTAAAGGCAGTTTGCCCAAACTCAATTATTTGACAAAAATTTTCAATATTCACAAAAATCCTGTTTAAATAATTTTGGATTCCAAAGTGTATCCTTGTTTTTATTTACAAACAAATATTTATTAAATCAATGACATGTGTTCAACTTTATTAAAACATAGGTAAAGCTATCTTTAACCTAGAAAACCCCATTTTATAGGACCCAAAACATGTGGTACAACAATGATGCTTGAATTGTAAGTATATTTATGAATACTATGTGCTTTTATATCCCTCTATAAATGGAATTATTTGAAAAGCTTTATAAACTGGTTTTACCATGGTGTATATCTTAGTTCTCTTATCATCTCTGCTGAAAGAAATTAGCCTATATTAATCAAATGAATTTTTTCTCAAAAGTAAAATGATGCATATTTTTGAATTATTAATATGTTTCTTAGAAAATATGGTTGTGTCATCTCACTTGGTAAGATTAGGACAAAGCTATCACTACTAATTCTGATGTTTCAGCAATAAGTTTAGCAGCTAATTGCACAACCAGCTTTTCTAATTCACCGGTGTTGAACAATTGAAAGAACACACATTTTATACTTTTTAATCTTTCTAAAAAGATATTTATGGCATTGATAGATTTATGAGTGCTTTATTTAATATTAAGGTGTGGAGCTACTATAGGGCTATTGGCTCTAGATCTTTACTGATATTTTTAAATATAAATATTTCCCGGTTCAATAAGAAGAAAATATATTTTCCTTTACCTTAAGTCACATTTTGTCTTGATGAATGTGTTCTTCATGATTTATTCTAAAACATTTAGAATACTTGATAATAAATATTGAATATTATATGTTATGAACTAAAAAAGCAATGCATTATTTAGTATTGTTAAACTAATTAAATGGCAAGAAGTTTAAAGTCAGGTTCTACCTACACATTCATTTTAAATTAGAATTGTAATATATCAAAATAGACCTGAGTAGTTAAATTCAATTAATAATTTAAAAACGTGCATATAGAAAAAGTAAGAAATGACATTCTCTGTATGGAGTACTCAATCTACCTAAGGACATTGATAAGGGAAGGGGTACTGATACACTGGAGATGCTATTTGAGTGAGAATATACATTATCAATGTCTGGTAATAAACGTATCTTCCAAGATACATTTTAGAGCCTGTTTTTGAAGTAATAGTTCTATTTTTAAATTGTTCCCGTAGTGACATAAAAATTAGCATGCAGGATTATAATACTGTAGTACACTATCATAATGCAATAATACATTTATTCTTTTTTGAAATACATTACTTGCTAATTTCATACTTAGCAACAACCATACAACATAGTTGTAATATTGTACCTATTGTGCTATTACTGTTATCATTAGGAGATTTCTATGGACTATACAAAAGCAACATAGGAGAAAGTAAAAAGTTGACAAAAACTAATTTGTGTAAATATAAAATTACTGTGATTTGTTATATGAGTATATTTCTATGTAGAACAGGAGAGTTTTCATAGCTCCTTTCCTTTGCCATCTCTTTGGAAAAGAAGGTAACATTGGCACCCATTTATTGAGTTCCAAAGAAGAGAGTTTCGGGACACAAGTTAGAATCTTCTTTTCGTGTAAAATCAACTTAGGTCCCCATGTTTCATTGCACCAAAAAGCTGGCTGCCTAACTCCAGGAAGATTTAAAAAGACAAACGTTCAGTTCATCAATTGACTACCTACTGCTATTTAGGTGACCAATACTGAAAACAACTGAGGAATTTAGCCCAGAAATGGTAAGGATATAGTTCATTTTGTTTGATTTTTAAATTTACTTTTGCTGTTATAGGAGCTTATATGCTTATTATTTTTCAGGGAATTCTCAGCTACCTAGGGGCATAAAAGAAGCATTGTAAAAGAATCTAAACACTGACAGGAGATGTCACACTGAAAACAATTTGAAACCTGGGTTACCTATACCGAGAAAACCTTTGAAATCTGATAAAAATAGAAAAACAAAAACCCTTTGATTTTGTTCATTTCTACGTTTATTTTAAGAAACCAAAATGTCTCCACAATTTGAATACTCAGAAGAACGAATAACTATATCTCAGTTAATAGTTTACATAAATTGTTTACAACTTAATAAGCAGAAAGAGGTCTACAAAGATAGGGATAACTCTGGATACTAATTTAAGTGAAAAGTAGAGGAAAGAGCTGGTGATGTTTAAGCCATCAAACTAAAAATATGTTCACAGTTTCAAACAAATAAAGATACAACATACATGATTAATTAAATATAATTTCTGCAGCTTCAGAAAACATTAAAAAAAGTATGAAAGTTCAAAAAAAAAACCATGAAATTTAGAGCCATTAAAAACTAGGATGGAAAACTAGTATTTTTCACATTTTTGCATAGTCAGGACTTTCTGAGCAAAGGACTACATCCAGCACCTAGACTAAGGATGATTTAATGGCAAGCATGTCTTAAATGTTGGAGATTGTATATTCCTCTGAAGAGATTTAAAGTGTCCTCTCCCCTGGAGCCATTTGTTCACATTCCATGGTGGTGAAGGAAAGCTGCAAATATGTTCTCTTTTCCTCTCCAGAGATGATGTGTTTATATTCCAGAGCCAAGCTCTCTCTTTCCCTCTCCTGAGAAGCAGAGGAACAGATATGCCAGATGCCCTAATAAGCTCTGATTGCCGTAACATTGGAGTCCCTCTCCCATGATTCGACCCATGCACAAACATGTGCTATCTGCCCTCTTCACATTGTCCCATGGGAATTTAGATGTTATCACAAAGCAGTCTTACTAGGACCATTTTTGTTCCTCTAATTCCTCAGCAAGAGGCCCTCACCAGAAGTTAACCAGATGTGACTGCCCAATCTTGAACATCCCCACCACCTGAGCTGTGAGTCAAAAGAAACCTCTTTTCTTGATACATTACCCAGTCTTGGATATTCTGTTACAGCAACATAAAACCAAATGTATCAGTCATCTTAATAAATGTAAATGATCTAAACTCCCCAATTAAAAGATATTTCAGTTTTGACAGAAATAAAAAAGGGAAGTCCATGTTGTTCATAAAAAGGCACGTGAAAAATAAAAGATCACAGAAATGTTATTGGCAACATACAACTAATTGAGAGGAAAGATATGTTTTGTTTGTTATTATATTGCAAAGTTTGTCACCTGACCTATAGCAAACACTTCATAAATATTTAGAAAGAAAAAAGAAAAGATTGCTTTGTGAGTTCTCCTTTCTTATGCAGAAGTTGATGTTCTGTAGGATAATTTGTTAGGGTGCAAGTACGATATATATCAGACCCTTCACACCCTCAGATGTGAAAGATCTATCTGTTATGGATTATTTAAATAAATATGCTAGGTAGTTAGTAAGGGAAATATGCTAGGAAAATAAAAATGAATAGGATATAGCTCTGTTCTCAAATTTTCCATAAGCAAGGAAAACAGATGTTCGGAGAGCTAAGTGTGTTACAACACAATGTGTCTCTCTTAGCAGAATATACAAAACACTCTGAGAACACAGAATAATCAATAAAAGAATGCACTTTATAAAAGTGTTTGGAGAAATTAAAACAAAATTTAGTGGACATATAACAAACACTATAGAGAAAAATTATCTTTTGGTTAAGATTATAACTGTGAGGTAATGTATATTTTATTTCATGGATGTCTCTTCAATTTTCAACATGTTCTGAGAATCTATGACTAAATGACTTAATGCAAAAACAAAAAGGTATAGCATATTTTTTAATCGGTCCGATTAGAGCTAACTTACCCATAAAATACTCATTGAGTACAGCAATGTGTTTATAACAACATAGTTAGACATATTTTTCCCCTGCCAACAACATATTGGCTGCTGTTCTTACTGGCCCTTCAAAGAAGCTTGTATTATGGTAACCCTATTTTAAAAATTATTATGCTATAATATAATGGCTTATTTAGTTGTCCACACTAGGCTTTTAAACTTTTTAAGGGCATTAATGATATCTTTTCTATCATGGTTTGTCTGGTGCTATATAAAGTACATAGTGGGCTATGGCCGATACCTCTAACTGTCCCTCAGTATTCATTTTCTTTGTATGCATTTAGTAATGCATTTACAGATATTTTAACTGGGCACATGCCTTCTCACCTGGATACTATATTTTCTACTCTTTCACAGTTAAATGAAGCTATGTAATTGAGCTTTTTATCATGAGTTTTGAGTAGGAATCATAGGTGAAATTTCCAGATATTATACTTAACATGATTGAGGATGCATTTGTCTCTTTTTCTGTCCCTCTTCTGCCTACTTAATGCAAATGCAGCCAAACACTTCTTAACACTTGTAGGAGCAGGGATAAGAATACAAATGGAGATGCACATAACATGTATAAATATTTAAAAGATATAAATCAAGATAACAAAGTTATGTGCTCTATCTTCCTACCTTGACAATTTTACCTTTCCAACAACCTGGAAGGCTAGGTTTAAATTTAGAATTTTTCAGACTCATATGAGTTCTACATAAGAACATGAGAATATTAGAAAACCTGGCATGTAGCCCAAGGCCTATAATTATTATCCTATTTCTGCCTCATTTTTTTGTTCTACACAGCGAAATCTGTCCCAAACATGCAAGGATGTCCCAGATCACATATCCAAGCCCCATCTACAACCCAAGTAAATGGTCATCCTTGGTTTTTTTGATACACACATTGGTGTCTAATCTACCCTCAAAATGACAGCTTTGGACAGTTTTAGACAGTTTTTGGCAGGGAGTTCTGAGGTCCCAAGTACTCTAACAGTAATGTCAAATTAGGAGGAGAGATTTCAGTTGGGGATACTGGTTTTGGGTTTGCTTCCGTGTGCTCAGGAGCATAGAGTAATGAAGTCCAGAGCAAAACCCGCTAAAACCCAGAGCCCAACAAAGCATCCCCTCTTGCCCGGATCTAAGGTGTCACTAAACACAGTGATAACGAGCCAGATTCAACAAAGGAGATAAGGGCAATGGTCCATGACTGCATTTTCCAATATGGCAGACACGAGTCTGAACTGAGTGGCTAGTTCAGATTTACAAAGATTGTAAGTGTAAAATATATACTCAGTTTTGGTACCACAGTATAAAAAAGGTAAAATAATTCCATTTATATTTGCTATATATTGAAATTATAATATTTTGGATACATGAGGATAAATAAAACATATTATTACAATGTTACCTCTTTACTTTTTAAAATGTGGTTACTAGAAAAATTTATGATTTCATATTTGGCTTGCATTTATGCCTTGCATTAGATGTTTGATGCTCTATAGAATAGCGTAGCAACAGTATATGTAGAGTTTGGGTCTCTGGATAGTCTTGTGGAGCAAAATCTCCTACTTGCCAAGAATTGCCCATTGTCCTTTCCACTATTACTTAACAGGGAAATAAACTACTGTCTCCTCTGAGCACTTTATTCTTGGAGCTCTTTGTGGTACCCATTTACATTATGCTGTATACTAACTTATATATGGATAATTGATGGGTAATCATGTCAAAAATGAATACAATAGATAAACAAGATAGCAGTCAAAGATAGATTAGCCTTCAAAGAATGAGTTGAACAGAGGCATAAAAAGTATTAAAATACTTATGTGATCCATGTGAGAATGGATTTTATTTTGTTCATTGTAGTAGTCAATAGCTGTGAGAGTTCCTGCTTACAATAGGTCTTTAATAAAAATTTGTGAAGTGAATAAATATGAGGTATATGACCAATGGAGATACATGCAAAGCACTAATGAAATGTATCAGAGTTTCATGACATAGTAGGCAGACATCTTAGAGTAAAGACAATATTCACATAGAAATGATAGCAGAAAATATTTAACACTAAGGAAGAATATGAGCAGGTATGGGCTAAACATTAGCAAATTTATATTTTTTCTTTTATTCAGTTCCAATATACTCATAAGCTAACTAACTTAAGAACATATGAGGCACCTTGGATGCACTTGCTTCAGGTGTCAAGGATTTATGCAAAGCACTAGAAGTAAAATATATCTTTATCATATAATGATATTAGATGCCTTATTTGAATGTTGGTTTTTAAGCAATATCTGTTGATACCAAAAAGTAATTACCAACAATGCTCTTCTAAAATATTACTGTTTTTCCTAAATTATCATTGTGTAATTTTAGTAGAAATAATCTGTTTTGTCATCTTTATTTTAAATCGAAGGGATTTCATAAATGCATGTGGTTAACAAATCATTTTTGGTGGTTCTTTATTTGTTTTTAATAGCAATTTCTTCACAGAGTATTTGGGAAAAGCAAAAATAAAATACAATAAATAAGGGTAAGCTTTTAACTGTTAAGAGTCGTTCTGAGATAGCTATCATTCAACAAGTGTATTATCTTCCAATATTTGAAAATTGGAAAAGTCTGTGTATAGTGAGTTAAATGAAAAAATATTCAATTATATGTTTAAATATAATTCTTGTTTTACACAAAGCTTTTTAAATATGAACAAGTTTTAAAGACTTTTAAACAGTAACTTTTAAATAGTAACGTAAAATTCCCCTTTATGCATAGATTACATAATTTGATTTCTAGAAAGTTTGCTGAATAGAATTATTTTACTACTACTAAATATGTACGGATTTCTAATGATTCCTTGGGCTGTTGCAAACATGTAGGACAAGTAATGTTTACATTTAAAGAGAAAACCAGAGGGTTTGTTTTTAATTGTTCAGATTTTGTTCTTTTGGGTAAACGAAATACTGAAAATTTAGAAATTTTTGAAAATGTGAAGCACATTATTTGGATGTCTTTTTTAGAAAATTTGAGGGATGTCAATAGATACCTAACCAATGCAACAGATGTGATTAATCTTAACTATTTACTTCACTAAACGTGATGATGAATGTTTTTAAAAATCCAGTAAAACCTGACCTTCAATAACTGTTTGTTACAGTCTTAGAGAGACTCTTATAAATATATCCCTTGAGAGCTGTAAGTGACATTATTAAAGATAATTAACCAATAGATTCTGAATATGTACTTGATAACTGCATGAAGTCGACATTGGTATTTCATAAAAGACTGATAGTTAGAAGAATAACTGGGAGGTATAGATGTAAAAAAATGAATTTAAAACATGGTGAATGTATTATTTTAAATAATTTTCTTAAAATGCTGTCTACAGTATTTTATTTCTACAAAAGAATGCCTTTGCAATTTACTTAAATAATTGGTGAATATTTATCTTTATTAGTATGCTTTAGGTAAGTGGAAAAATGTTACTTGGATTAATTTTATTTTTGATTGAAACGTTTGCCTTGTCTGTAATCCTAAAAAAAATTCTCATTCATTCGCTTACCTCCCTGTTCCTTGCCTCCCTCTGTGTGTTAGCCAGAATGTATACAAGTAACAACATGTTGAATAGAAGTGACAATGGAAAGTAATAATCCTAGGTTTCTAAAACAGTGTTGTAAATTTTACTAATTCTAGGTGCACCTTTAATTTCATGAACCCTTGGGAAATTCCTTCTAATTTTATGAGAACTTTATATGAGCTCATTATCCAAATCTGATTCAAAAACTATTTCTAAAATCAAATGTCTAAACAGAAGCCAAAAATTATTCATACACCATGAAGAAAAAAATAAAAATTAAACCTAAGGTGACTTCAATGTGAGCCAAATGGCATAATGAACCTATAAAATGCTTAGTGAAATGCAGTCAGGCTTGTAGATGTGTTTACCAAAAGGGAATGTTCTGCTTTCATATTTATTATGATCTTTCACTGATTTAAAACTCCTATATACTGAAACTCAGCAAACATCTTTAATTTACATAAAGCACAGCATTTTTTAAAAAAAACTAATATAAGAATGGATTTAAAAAGCAGTTTATTCTATTGTGCCAGTCTCGGCAATTAGAAAGGAGAAAGATGTTATTGAGCCTAAAGAATATTTGATAAAGAGTATATCAATACATTTCCTTAAGAGTTAATAATACTGCAATGGGATTCATAAATGCTATCTACCTTCATTTCATTGCTTGAAATCAATGAACTGGATCTTCAGAATAAAATTTCAATAACATATTTAAGAACCAAATAAGCATCATTTTTTACTTCTAATAAGTTGAAAAGGAAAAGGGTGGTCTAGTTTACTTGTAAGGAGTTTGTTCTAAGTGATTTTTTACTTTTCAGACTGTTGGGCTAATGATTAACGTCATATACCGTACATCTTCGTCTAGAAGCTATGGTGTCTATTAAATGTAATTACATTTCCCCATGCCTTTAAATTGACGGCAGATTCAAAATGAAGGTGGCTTCTATTAAATTTAATTACTTCCCCCTGAAGCTTACTTGGCAAAACTGTGACTAGTAATGAAAGCGGATTCCATAAAAAAGCTGCATGGTCAAGGTGTGGCTATTAAATTAGCTATGCTTTTAATGAAAAAAAATATGGAAAACAATATTTAAAGTGGGGCTTTATCAGTCATGTGTATTTTTGTGATATTATGACTGATAAATTAAGTTTTCAGCTTTTAATTAATTGTTTTCAACTTTCTATCAATAGATTATATGGATATACACACATCTATGTCAATTAATAATAAGAATAATTAAGGAAAGATGCCAATTTTCAAAAAAGCTTCCTCTAGTACTTCCGTGTACACAAAATAGTGACCTTTATATCACTTAATTCAAATGATGTTTTAAGTCAGCATGATGTAATAAAGGAGGAAAACACAAAAAAATAGAAAAATCCTGTTGTTACTAGACACATTGTTATTTCTTTCTAAGCTGTTTATCTGATTTGAGACACAGTGCTAATAATATGACTAATCTACTTAATATAAGTATTAGGAAAATTAGAAAAAATATGTTATCTATGATTGCTTTGTAAGTCTCTGGCTTAAAAAAAAACACCTATTTTTGATTACTTTATTTTTCTGGATTAAAATCAATTTGTCAACTCCTCTTACATTAATTCATTCTTCAATGTCCAACTTATTGTGTGCTCACTATGTGTCAGTCATATGGTACAGCTACATATCTACAGGATTCTACTGGAGAGATGGAGTTAGGAGTTAGTAAAGACAAAAGGCAATAAATACGTGGTCACCCAGAGAAAGAACTTGTTATGGTTCCAGAGTCCCTTGCTTCATCACTGATAGAAATATACTATAGCCAAACTTAGCATCCACCTGCCCATTCAGCCACCACATAGGCCACACAGGCTGGCTTAAGCATGAGTGAGGCACCAGCCTGCAGAGTGCCTCGGCTCCAGGGGATGCATGTCAATTTCCCTGAGTGGTCTCCTAAAAGAAAATCTCTCACTGTTCTTGGGTAGGAGGATAGCAACTTCTATCTTTCTTCCTGGGTTTGAGAGATGGTCTCAGCATCAGAGAATGTCAACATTACTCCCAAGAAAATTCTTTTATCTAATTATCCTCCCTTTGGCATACTTTAACACATGTTATACAATGTCATAAATGTTTTTAAATATGGTCTTTATATCCGATTTAATCATGAACCAATTATCTTATATTCCTGTGTATGTTCTGAATACTCACTTATGTCTCCCACTTATTTTTGTACCTGTTTTCTATTATATATCACATAAAAATGTTTTGTTTTAATGTTATTTTGAAATGTGGTAGTTGTGAGCATCAAAAACCGGAACATAAACCTAACTAGATAAGCTAAGCTACTAAGAGGGTCAGGGAAGTCTCTTAGAAGAAGTGAAATATGAGTAGAAATGGAAAAGAAGAATGCATAAGAGATTGCCAAGTAAGAAGCATATCAAACAAACGGAACAGAACATAAAAGGACTGCAGTACAGTGGCGTGATCACAGCTTACTGCAGCATTGAACTCCTGAGCTCAAGGGATTCTCCTGCCTCAGCCTCCCAAATAACTGGGACTACAGGTGCACACCATTATGCCCAGTTAATTTATTTTCTCTTCCTTCCTCCCCTCCCTGCATCCCTCCCCTCCCTCCCTCCCTCCTTTCTTTTCTTTTCCTTTCCTTTCCTTTCCTTTCCTTTCCTTTCCTTTCCTTTCCTTTCCTTTCTCTCTCTCTTTTTCTTTCTTTCTTTCTTTTTCTTTCTCTTTCTTTCTTTCTTTTTTTCTTTCTTTCTTTCTTTTCTTCTTTCTTTCTTTCTTTTCTTTTTCTGGCTCTCACTCTTTTGCCCAACTGGTCTTGAACCATTGTTCTCATCCTCCCTCCTTGGGCTTTCAAAATTCTGAGATTACAGTCATGAGCCACCACACCAGCCCACAGTATCATTTATTTGGAGAACCTAACTAGGACAGCGAATGAAATGTAGCGTGATGAACAATATGCAAATAGGCCTACTTTGCAATTAAACTTCAGTGTGACAAAGAGTTTGCTGCCTAGCATCCTTGGATTTGCTCCAATAAATCTTCTTTAGATAAACAAAATTTTATAAATTAAATGGCTTATTTTGGAGACGTTACTGTCATCTTTTTACGTTGAATAGTATTTTCAATGAACTTGCTTTTATGGTTAATAATAAAGCTTATATACTGGAAATTCTATATTATTATTTATTCTATGATTATAAGGAGTAGGTATGTCTTATTCACTATTGTACCTTTAATTTACAGCTAAGTGTTTTGAATCTAGTATCACAATGGTTACTCTATAAATGTTTGTTAATACATTTCTGTATAATGCTGTTAAAATATGTAAAATACAGAAAGTATAAGTTTTACAAAGAACACCAGTAAATGTCACTGGTTACCACAAAATTAATGGCTTAAAATAACCAATTTAAATGTATTACCTCATAGTTCTGGAGGTCAGAAGTCTATCACAGATAACTCTTGCCTAAAATCAAGGTATCCACAGAGCAGCTTTCTCTGGGGGCTGTAGGAAAGATTCTATTTCTTTTCCTTTTCCAGCTTCTAGCAGCCACCTGCAGTCCTTTGATCATAGCACCCTTCCTCCATCTTCAAAGCTAACATTGCATCTCCTTTTCCAATGTGCTACGGTCATCATTTCCTCTTATTTTTCTCCTCCTGCCACCTCTTCCATTTTTAAGGACACTTATGATTGCATTAGGCCTGGTTGTGTAATTCCAAGAAATATCTCCATCTTACATTCAACTGATTAGCAAAATTAATTGTATCTGCTACCTTAATTCCTCTTTGCCATGTGACCTAATAGGTTTTAGCTGCAGTTTCCAGCCTCAGAGTTTCCAGGGAATAGAACATGAGCATTTTTATTGAAGGGTTGGGACTAAAGAAGAAAGGACATTATTCTACCTACCTCAATCAATAATACTTGAAGCATTGGTTTGATATAAAATTTGATCTATTGGCCGGGTGTGGGGGCTCACGCCTGTAATCCCAGCATTTTGGGAGGCCGAGGCGGGCAGATCATGCGGTCAAGAGATCAAGACTATCCTGGCCAACATGGAGAAACCCCGTCTCTACTAAAAATACAAAAATTAGCTGGGTGTGCTGGTGCACGCCTGTAGTCCCAGCTACTCGGGAGGCTGAGGCAGGAGAATTGCTTAAACCTGGGAGGTGGAGGTTGCAGTGAACCAAGATTGTGCCACTGTACTCCAGCCTGGCAACACAGTGAGACTGAGACTCTGTCTCAACAACAACAACAAAATTGATCTCTTAGGCTGTAATGGCCTCCATATCAGCCAGGTTATGCTGTCATACCAAAGAAGCCCTAAATTTAAGATTTATTTCATTCAAATGCTACATCACTCTGTGACGCAGTGTGACACAGAGCTATTATCTCATTGCTTGTTGCTATGAGATAGTAAAAAGTACTTGTGGGGTTTGGGTTTCTACACCAGGAAAGGGAAACTCTATCCCAGAAGTGACACACGTTATTGCAGCTCAAAATTTGTTCACCAAAATAACTCAAAAGTCTCTGCCCATGGAAAGAGACAAGGAAATGCAATCTTTACCATGTACTCAGTTGCTAGAGAATTGAAATATCTGGTTTATATTAATGACAAACATTCCTCTTTTGACTCCTATCATCCATGCTCAAAGAAGAAAATTGCCAGTTTGTTGGTAGATGACTTTGGAAGTACAATAAAATGATAATATTAAAAACAATTTTTTCAATTTTTAAATGTCATATAATCTATATGCATTGATGAATGAAAACAATTATTTTCATTAATTAGAGAAACACTCTGGTTTATCATAAACCACAGAGAATTGATTAGTAAAATTAAGACAAAAGAGAAAGAACCCCAAAACAGGTGCTTCTTAAATGCTTCAGCTAGGAAATAAAAATCAGTTTCAGAAGGCATTTTGATATAATTAATACATGTTAAATGCAGTTATCTGTTGTTTTAATAGAAATATACTATCTTGTTACATTATATAAATAGAAAAACTTTGTGTGTAAAAGAAGTAAGGCAAGTGGGTCGATTTAATTAGGCAAATTGAGTCGAATGTAATAATCTGATACTTTGCCAAATTTGAATTACCACTGAAAAGTTTAAAATGATCCTTAAAAAATATTATG